>NC_000007.14:148397773-148549288 GCF_000001405.40 Homo sapiens | reverse complement strand
GTGTTAACATACATTTCCATTTCTCTTAGGATACTTCAGAGTGGGATTGTTGAGTCATATAGTAAGTGTATGCTTAACTTTATAAAAAAACTATACAAAACCAGACTGATATCCAGGTGTGGTACCATTTTGCATTCTCACTGGTAATGTATGATTTCCAGTTGTTCTGCATCCTCGTCAGCACTAGCTGTCATTTATTTCCATAGCCATTCTAGTAGGTGTGTAGTGATATCTCGTGATTTTAATTTGCATTTCCCTGATGATTATACTGAATATCTTTTCATTTGCTTATTTGCCATTCATATATTTCCATGGTGAAGAGTACATTCAGGTTTTTTGCCCATTAAAAAAAAATAAACTTTAGGTGTTCTCTTATTGTTGAGTTCTGAGAGAGCTCTTTTTTGGGGTACAAGTCCTCTGCTAGAAATGGATGTTTTACTCTGATGGCTGCAATTTTCTCAGAGCAGTATGAAGCAAGAGTGAGGATGAGGTGGGAAGTGTAGGAAGTTTAAGGAGTAAGAAAAAAATATAAAATAGCCTTCTGAGGCAGAAGGGAAGTGAACAGATTAGGGATGCACGCTATGATTGCCTGGTGGCATTAGGGCCCTCTTGAGCCTTGTGTTGGTATAGTTAAGCTGGGACCAGTCACCATGGGCATTTTTTTTTTCCAGCCATGATTAGTTGCATGAGTGGAGGGATGAAATAGGTAGAGGAATGGTTTTATCTAGGGCTTTAGTTTTGCCAAGTACGTATAAGAAAACAGAAGTGGAGGAAGGGAGTTGAAAGGACATGAAAGGAATAAATTACGGTGACTGACCATAGAATCTAAGTGGAGTCAGAATGGAAGAGAACAAGGATGAGGGACAGTGAAAAGGGGTTAGGATCAATAGACTGGAGGTTCCAGCATAGCCAAAGGATTGTGGGGGTTGGGCACAAGAGGGAGGGAAACGGGGAGGCAGAAGACAGTTGTCTGAGGGAAAATGCTTGCTGTCCAGGAAATGTCAAGGTTGCAGTTCCCAGTAATGACTGGGGCATGGTCATAGATATGAGTGTGCCTGAGTTGGGTGGGAAATTCCAATGGGAAAAAAAAATCTCAGAAAGAAGACAGCTCAAGAAACCGTGAGGCCAGAGTCACTGTAGTAGTGAAGAGAGTGGCAGTGAGCCAAGAGCTAAGTTAAGGGGAGTGACCTCGAGGTCAGTAGGTGACAGTGGCAATAGATGAAGTGATGATATGAAAGTCAAAACTTTTTTTTTTTTTTTTGAGATGGAGTTTCACTCTTGTTGCCCAGGCTGGAGTGCAATGGCACGATCTCGGCTCACTGCAACCTCCACCTCCTGGGTTCAAGCGATTCTCCTGTCTCAGCCTCCCGAATAGCTGGGATTACAGGCATGTGCTACCATGCCTGGCTAATTTTGTATTTTTAGTAGAGACAGGGTTTCTCCATGTTGGTCAGGCTGGTCTCGAACTCCCGAACTCAGGTGATCTGCCCACCTTGGCCTCCCAAAGTGCTGGGATTACAGGCGTGAGCCACCGTGCCCAGCCAAAACTTTTTTTTTTTTTTTTTTTAATGGAAGAGGAAGAGAGAATGATTTAGAAGCTGCTATGAAAAGGAGGAAAGCAGCTACCCTACCTCTAGGAGCACTGAATGGATGTGAGAAGAAGCTGAGCTTGGATCAAGTGATGTGGTCAGGAGAGGAAGGGAAGCTACTAGGACCTCAGAAAGTTGGCCTGGGATTGGAATCCTGGAGGGGAAAGGGTTGGCTTCTGGCTACAGAGGGACATACAGAGAGGTGTTTTTTGAAGGGCTCCATGGATTTATCTGGAACTGTGCTGCTCAACGCAGCAGCCACTAGCCACATGTGGCTAACTTAAATTTAAACTCATTAAAATAAAAAGTAAATAAGTAAAAGTAAAATTCAGTTCCCCCGTCATAGTAGCCACAGTACAATGCTCAGTAGCCATAGTAGTGGTTCGTGGCTCTTGTACTGGACGGTGCAGATGTAGAATATTTCCATCATTGCCAAACATTCCGATAGCCACAGTGACATTAGGGCCATGGGCTCTGAGAGTGGCCGCACCATGTCTTCTCTCATCCCTGGACCTTTCTGTGGAAATATGAAAGCAACCACAGTGCTCAGCCATGCTGTCAGGAATTAAGAGAAGGGAATGTATTGAGTTTAGGAAGAAATGAAAAGGGAAGGGCAGCGGCTCCTCCCTTGGCGGTGGCCGCCATCTTGGAGCTGCGGGAAGGGAGCTGTGGTCAAAGCGAACCGGCTGAGAAGGAAGCTGAAGAGATGGAGTGGAGGTCAGATTTCTGAGCCTCCTGGAGGCTGCACCTTCAGATGATCAGATATGTGGCAGGAGTGGGAAAGGGACACAGAAAGAAGGAGGATCCGTTTCTCTAATCCAGTGAGTGGGTATTAAACTGTGGCATCATTTTATGCCCAAAGCTGGTAAGGCCTGAGTGTGCTGGTAACATAGATAGAAAAGTCATTTGTATTCATTTCTGTAGAATGTATTTATCTTTGGCTGCTCCCTAGGTGCATTCTTCTTAAGGGGTCATGTGGGTATTGTGTGTGGTAAATAATCAGTGCTGCTTGAACATTTATGCCTCTTCCTCTCTGTCTTGTGTGTGAAGGGCCACATCTGACACACTGACCTCAGGGATAAGTCGCTGCCATGTGATTTTAACCCCCATATACGAAATTTGACAATGTAGAGGCATAGAATAGAATCATGCTTAGTTTTTGAGAGCGTGTAATCATTGAAGCATAACATTATTTACTTTCACCCCCCCCCAAAGGAAACCTCTCTGAAAATTAAATGACTAGTTTTACGTTTTTAAAGTGTATATAATTGGTAAAATGGTCTCATTTCTTGCTTCCCCCAATTCAAAAGGGACAAAGTGATATGTTCGTAAGTAAATAATTTTTTCTTTTTTTTTTTAGTGATGATCTGGAGACTTTAATATGGGATTTATGATGGCTAAAGAGCATTACCTACCCAAGAGGAACCTTTAATCCAGGGAGGAAGTTATGAGTTTTTGGTTCATTTTGTGGTCAACCTCATTCCTTCTAGTTTTGTCTATGGCCTAGGCGAGAGAAAATAATTGGAAATGCTATGATGAAAATAATAGAACGATTCCTCTTGTTGCTATGGTGACAAGAATAAATTGAATCCATTGCTCTGAAAAATTGCCCGAAAGTGTACTTTAGCATTCCACGGTGGGTTTATTTGTTGAGAATTTTAATCTGTCAGCTTCCATCAAAATGGTGCAGCACTCAGAGAAATATTTCCCATCTATACTTTTAGCTGGTTTTTGTTATTTGTTTTATTTTTTAAAATGTTATAGATTTGGGGGTACTTGCGCAGGTTTGCTGCATGGGTATATTACATAATGGTGAGGGTTAGGCTTCTAGTCTACCCATCAGCCAATTATTGTAAAAGAAAGCAACCGTCATTATATTGAAAATTTAAATAATTTTCTAAAAGCATCTTGCCAGGTACAAATCTAAAAGCAGATTATAGTTTTATGTCCACCATCATGGAAAATGTCATTGTCAGCACCAGCCGAGCTTTGGATGATTTTTCAGGTCATTGACGATCATTAGTATGATACGGGACTCCAAAGATCTGGTTGAGAAACCAAAGGATGTGGATTCCCAATCTCATTCAGTGTAAAACAGTCATATAGGCTTACAAGAAGAAATAAGCCCTAGTGCCTCGGTTTTTCTGTTTAATTTTTGATAATGAGCATTTTAATAATAGTGATAGTTAGCATGTACCAGATGCACCAAGCATTTTGTGGATGTTGTCCATGCTCTTGACAGCAACTCTTAACATGTAAGTATTATCATCTATAGTTTGCAGATAGAAGAAACTGAAACTCAGAGAGGTAAAGCAACTTGATCAAGGTCACACAGCAAAGTGGAGAGCTGGGATTTAAGCCCGGCTGCATCTTGGCTCTAGACTCCGTGCCTCCCGATGGTGCTGGTTGCTCCTAACTTGCAGTAACACTATTGGCTTCAAAATATCTGAGCATCTATCCTGAGCAGTATATGCAAAAGAGTTAACGCTGGCCTGAAAGGCCTTTGCCAGGGTTGGGAGGGAAGCGTGTATCTAGCACTCTGTTTGTTTATTTTTTTTCTGAGCCAGGGTCTCCCTCTGTTGCCCAGGCTGGAGTGCAGTGGCATAATCTCTGCTCACTGCAATCTCCACCTCCCTGGTTCAAGCAATTCTCCTGCCTCAGCCTCCCAAGTAGCCGGGACTACAGGTGTGCACCACCATGACTGGCTAACTTTTTTGTATTTTTAGTAGAGGTGGGGTTTCGTCGTGTTGGCCAGGCTGGTCTTGAACTCTTGACCTCAAGTGATCCACCCACCTCAGCCTCCCAAAGTCCTGGGATTACAGGCATGAGCCACTGCGTCTGGCTGCACTCTGGTTTTGATCATTTATTTTGCTGTCTTTAGGATTTTGTTTTCTCATTTTAAAAACAGTTGATCTTCTGTGAAGAAAAACTTTTGGTTAAGAACCAAGAACCTGTTTCTACCTTGTGTTTCTAAGAAGTACCCTTCCCGTGGTGTCTTCCCAAGCAGCCAGGAGACAGGTGGCTCTTCTGTTGCCTTCTGAAGTCAAACCCCTGAATGAACGCAGAGAATCTCTGAGTACCCACAAATCCTGATTCAAAATCCTGATTCATATGCACCTAATGTGATCCTGAGGCCTGATTCATATGGCATGAATACTCTGTGTGTGTATTGCTGAATATGGTTAAACCTTCCTCTCCTTCCTCCCCTTATTTCTCCAGGGAACTGACTTCTTCCTCCTCATGGTCCACTTGAAATTCCAGGAAAAGGAACAGATGTGCAAGGAATTGCAGCCTGGAGAAACATAGTGTATTTGGAGACTTGCATGTAAATGGATAAGTAGGTGTAGGAGGAGAAGCTGGGTCACATTTTCCTAAATTTTATTCCACAAAACACTAGTTCTGTGAGACGCTCTATGGAAATTGGTCCCATGATCAGTACATTTGGGGCATGCTGCATGTTGTATTCCCTGTTGTCTTATATTGGATTTCCTAAAAATAGACTCTGAGGTGGAGACTTATGTGCAGAAGGTCTCTTGGCGAATGCTCCAGGGAGGCGTGCGTGTAAGGAAGTGAGACAGACCCACCTCAGGCCCCTGGGACTTCCACTGGCCAGACGCCCTGTGCCTACTTGTGTCATGGGATACAGGGCCCATCTCTTCCCATCTCCACACTCTGACCACACGCTAGTAGCTTGAAATCAGCCATGGTGCAACTATTGGCATCACAAAAATGGACAAATGCTTCAAACTGGGGCCTGACTTATTGTTTTGTTGATTGCCAGGCTTAAAAAGTGATGGAAAGGATGCTAATAATGCATATTAAACCAAAAAAGTGCGTCATGTCTGTAGCTGTGACATTGTGAATAGCACAAGCATTGAGGTTACATGCTTCTGATATTTGAAAACCCTTATTGGATTCAACAAAGAATTCACTCATGTCATTGTCTATCAGGTGAAGCTCTGATGCACATTTTTTGCTTTCACTTTTGCCTTATTCATTAATATAAACAGAATGTCAATCAACCTTCATGTTGTGTCTACGCTCAATCATCCCTGATGACCCTACGCTGACTACAGATGCAGAATTCAGCAAAAACCAATGAAAGCATTCGGTGAGAATCAATGGCTATATGGAGCTTACAATAAACCGTATTGTGTATTTTATTATTACGTATACGTTGTGTGTTACATATCTGTTATATCAGCACAATTTATAGTAAAATCATGTAGTTGGTGAACATTTACCAGCATATCACTGGGGCTGGTGGAGTTTGGGTGGGAGCATCTGAGATTGCCGTTGGAGAATGCTGCAGCCAAAGTCTACTGGCAAAGACATCCCGTGCCTCTCAGGACTGGCAGTAGCCCACTGTAGACATGGCCTCAGTGTACACATAGACACGTTTCGGAACATGGGGCCCTGGGTCACTCATGCTCCCTGTAGTTGGAATTCTACCAGGCACATTCCATGGCCTCCACACTGATACCTGATGTGGTTGGAGCTGAGGTCTCAGACTATCCTCCAGAGAGCGTTAGGGCTGGGATGGCCTTTCAGAGTGGTCCCAAATTGAGGCAAGAGGGCCAGGCCTTTAGATCACCAGTCACTTATACCCAAGGCACATCCTTGGTTAAGACAGTGCTCTGTGGCTGAGGACAAATCCCAGTGAGAGCCAGAGCTCTAGGTGGTGGCCTGTGAATGGTCAGTGGCCAATATTCCCAGAAGCTGGAGGATAGGTTTGTCTACCCTGAAGAGGAAAGTTGGCTGGAGCACTGCAGTGTTTATTAGACTCTCTTGGAAATTCATAATGTTTATTAGCATTTAAAAGGTTCTGAAGAATCCTGCACTTAACTTTGTCCTGCTAGCACTTGCTCAATTTATTTCACCAAGAAACCATTTTGTGTGTCTGTGTCTGTAACATCCCTTTGAATTAGTATTCTACAGAACACATTCGGGAGAAGCTGGGCCAGAGAGAAAGGCAAGGTCAGATCGTAAAGGGCCGAGCCTGCCTGGCTGGGCAGTTTTGATTTTATGCTGCGGGCACTGGGGAGCTGTTCTGATTTGACTTGCATTTTGGGGAAAGCACTTTGGAAGTGTGTGTAGGATTGATTGGTATGGGAGAGATGGAGGAGCAAGTGTATTTAAGAGGCTGCCACATCTTCCAAGGGAGAGATGATATGGGCCTGGATTTGGATGGCAGAGAGAAGAGGCAAATCAGAGGAATGTTTAAGAGAGAGAATCAATAGTGTTTAGTGATAGGTTATTTTCCCATTACCCTGTAATGTAGCTCAGTGTTATTTACATCTTCTCATTTCCAAACGGGTTTCCTTCCCTTCCCTTCCCTTCCCTTCCCTTCCCCTTCCTTCCTTCCTTCCCCTTCCTTCCTTCCTTCCTTTCCTTCCTTCCTTCCTTCCTTCCTTCCTTCCTTCCTTCCTTCCCTTCCTTCCCTTCCCTCCCTTCCTTCCTTTCCTTCCTTTCTTTCCTTTCGTTTCCTTCCTTTCCTTCCTTCCTTTTCCTTTAATTATCTTCTCCTTCTATTACATATGTATCCCTGAAATGGTGTATTTAACAACTTCACCTACAGAATAGCTTTTGTATACTCATCTTTCCAGGCTCCAGTTGGTTTGCATCCATTCATCCTCTTGTGTTCTGGGATGAAAAAAATGGGGATGAACTGGGCAGTATCCTGTGACCATTTCACAGTTGTTGTTTTGGAATGTAGTGTTCCGACGGCTTTTCCAATGTGTCCGAAATTGCTTTAAGTCTGTAGTACAATAAGTAGGAAATGAGGGGGATGCAAACATAATCTCACGCATTTAACACAGGATTGATTTGTTCCTGTACACCTCAGTTTTTATTACTATTGGAAGAATATGATTTCTTTTTAAGAAGCTGATCTCTTTTTATCAGCTCTAGAGGAAGGAGGGTTAACTTAGTTTCTAGACACTGTCTACCCTTCTTTCTCACTTCGTGTTATTTTATTGGCAAATGTATCTCTATTTAGGTTATTTTAAAACATGGAATCAACTCTGATGCTCTTTTTCTTTATACTTTTCCCAGGAAAAGAAGTTTAAATCAATAACTGAAATAAGTTTTCATGGTACCCAGAGATTTCACTTCCTGATAGCCTGCCTCATGTGAATTAACGTGTACAATGGAAGGTAGTTCTAGTGGAGATAATGAATTCCTCTCCAGAAAGGGAGCTTTCCCTCTTTTGGGGTACTGAGGGCACTCACGGAAAATAAAGGACCAGGGTTTTTTCTTCACCTCTAGAATTTTAATTATTTTAATTTAATTTATTTATTTATTTTGAGACAGAGTTTTGCTCTTGTCACCCAGGCTGGAGTGCAATGGCGCGATCTCACCTCACTGCGACCTCTGCCTCCCAGATTCAAGTGATTCTCCTGCCTTAGCCTCCCCCAGTAGCTGGGATAACAGGCGTGTGCCACCACACCCAGCTAATTTTTGTATTTTTAGTAGAGACAGGGTTTCACCATGTTGGCTAGGCTGTCCTTGAACTGCTGACCTCAGGTGATCCACCTACCTCGGCCTTGCAAGGTGCTGGGATTATAGGTGCGAGCCACCATGCCCGGCCACGGTAAATTTAAAAATTCAGTAGAATTTTAAAATAGTTGGACCAGAGAGGAAGCATGTTTTCAAACATGCCAAGGGAATCCATTTTGGATTTTTAATTTGGGGAATTTTCTCAGATCTGGAAAAGTTATTGTAAATCAAGGTTGAAGTAAAGTTGGTTTACATATTTTACGTATTTGCCTTTTGGAAAACACAATTTAGGACTTTAGGTCCATGTCTTTGTTTTCATACTGACAAAGAGGCTGTTTCTGAGACCTCAGTCCCCCACACATTGCAGGGGTATTGCTGGGCTCTCTTTCTCTGCGTTGTGAAAGGCCTCTTCAGGGAGCATGGAGAGCTGTGTTCTGCCTCCCTGCGCATTAGATGAGCGCCTAGAGGGTGCTGGCAGTGAGCTGCTGCGGAGCCTGACATGGGTTGCCTTTCTCCAGGCACAGCAGGCAGACTCCAAGCTATTTCTTACCCTGGCTGGGCCTTGAAAAAGCCCAGCCAGCCGCTGAAAAACTGAGCTGAGACATCGCTAGAGAGGCTGTGCGTGAGCAGCCAAAGGCTATTTGCTGAGCAGAAGCTTCTGGACGCTGACCAGCTGGACGTTGACCACACAGAACAGGAGTGGTCATTAGGCTCCTCAGCCTCCCTGGACCAATCAGCTCTGATGACAAGCGGGCAGGAGGCAGCTTGTGGGAACTGAGAACTGCTGAGATGATGCTGAGAACTGCTGAAGAAGAAGGGACAATAGAAACCCTTGCCCATGATTGTGTCTCCAGAGAGCATCCCAGACGCTGTCTGGAGCCCCAGAATTCTAGGTTTGGTTACCAGCACCATGGATGCAGTGGTCACAGGACTTCTATTCATCTGTATTGCCCCAGTAGGAAAACTAAGCTTGGCCCTGGCTGCACCCTGCAACCTCAGCACTCAGGAATCTGCTGCTCTGAGCTGAGTCACCAGACTTGGTACTCGAGACGTGAATCCTTTTGGGACAGGATTCCTAAATAGGGATCTTCTTTTAGGAGTTCCAGAACAGTTATTTGTAACACATAGAATGGACAAAAGATTAGAATCCAGAATACGTAAAAAAGATTCTTACCAATCTTTAAGAAAAAAATTTTTTTAAATAAATGAAAAAATCAATCACTAAAAAAAAGACATTTAAAAATAGGCAAAAGACATGAATGAACATTTCACAGAAGAAAAAACATAAATGGCCAATAAGTTTATGAAAAAATGTTCCACCTCATTAGCAAGTGGGAAAATATAAATTTTAAAGCCACTGGCCTGGTGAGATGACTCACGCCTCTGATCCCAGCGCTTTGGGAGGCCGAGGTGGGAGGATCGCTTGAGGCCCGGAAATGAAGGTTGCAGTGAGCTATGGACACACCACTGCACTCCAGCCTGGGTGGCAGAGCAAGACCCTGTCTCAAACAATAAAATAAAACCCACTAAGGGATATCAATTTACACTCAATTGGCAAAAAATAAAGTAAAATAATATAAAGTGTTGCTGAGGCTGTGAAGCAGAGGCCTCTCCCACAATGCTGTTAGGAGCATGAATAGGCACAACTGCATCAGAAGACAATTTTGCATCAATTAACAAAGTTGAATCTTCTAGCACCTCTGCAATTACACTGAGGAACATATTACAAGGACTATAATTGGCAGGAGTATGTATAGTATCCTTAGTTATAAGAGTAAAAATATAAAACAATGCAATATGTTCATTAACAGTGGTGGATAGGTACATTTTGGCGTATTCATACGGCAGAATACTATGCGCAGTGAAAATGGAGAAAGTATAGTTCCAAGAATCAATACTGGTGAATCTTAAAAACAAAAACAAAAAAACAAGTCATAGAAGAATGCATCCAGTGTGGTTCAATTTACATAAAGGCGAACAACAGACAAAAGTCAATAATGTATTGCTTAGAGATACGGGGTAGAATTGAAAGAAAAGTAAAAGATTAAATAACATGAAAATCAAGATAGTGGCTACCTATGGTGGAAGATGGAGAGTGAGGGGGTGTAATGGACATGCGTATGAAGAGAGTGTCCCCGTCATTGATGGATGGTGGTCCATTACCTAAGCTGGGTAGTGGCCACGTAGGTGTTTGCTTTATTATTATTTAAATTATATATTAGACTATTCGTCATTTAAACTATATATGTGTATATACAATTACTCTGCATGATATAGTTTATAATTTTTAAAGAAAAGGGAAGAAGAAGGAAGAGGAGGAGGAAGAGAGGAAGTTGATGACTATGATGATGACAAAGGAGACAACAAGTAGTGCTTCGGGTCCCCGTGTGAGGCACTTTCAGCACTGTGTGGATGGTTATCTAGCAGGAATAATAAAGGCATGTCCTCACCATTTCTATAGTCTCTGGACTCCAAATGTATCCTTGATCAGATTGGATCTTTGTGGTGCTTCACTGAGACTACCCACCTGTCCAAACTGTAGGTTCAGGGGTGGTTTCCTGGAGAAGCTAATGCTTGAATTGAAGCCTAGGGGGCACAGAGACATATATGATGATATATAGCATGATTGTCATTCATTTAACAAATATTTATTGAGGTCCTATTGAAAAAAAAGGAACAGGGACATATAAAGTTGTATCTGAAAACAGTGTCAGAAGTTTGCATCAATGAAGAAACTGATGTTAGAAAGATAACATTTTTAGCTGTAATAGGATCAGGAGAATCTTAGAGTCATAGAAGTTCATAGCTGGGAAGAGAAGAAAGAAACAGCTACTGAGAATTACTAGAGTCGGACATTGTGTTAGGTGTTTTAGCTCTGCAGGTGGGTGAAAAGGGCATTCTAGGTGAACAGAAGGCCTCGGCAAAGGACAGAGGAGGAAATGACAGGGTGCATTCAAGAAATGGTGAGCAATATGGCTTGAATGGAATACACTAACAAGTTAGCATTTATTGCAGGGGTTGGACAATTTTTTTTTTGGTAAAGGGCCAGATGATAAATATTTTAGGCTTTGTGGACAACACAGTCTCTGTTGCAATGACTTACCTCTGCTGCTATAGCAGGAAAGAAGCCATAGATCATACAGGTGTGGCTGTGTTCCAATAAAACTTTACTTATAAAAACAGGTGGTGGGCTGAATTTGGTCCACAGACCAGAGTTTACAAACCCCTGGTTTATTGAATGCTTGTTATGGGCTAAGCACTTCACATGCATGATCTCAATTCTGAAAACAATCATGGAAGCAGGGCACTATTTATTACCATTGCCTTCTATTTACAGACATGGAGCCCAAGGCTCGGAGAAGTTAAGGTCATGTAGAGGTAGGGTTTGAGTCAAAGAGTCCTACCTCCATGGTTCACTCTTAATCACTGTGCTGTCCCAGTAATTAGAGGGATGGGTTGTGGAGGATGGGCTGTCGCAGAGAATCCTGATGTCAGACCAAGAGTCATCTTGGTTAGATAATAGAGGGCCGTGGAGGGTTATGAAAGAGACTGACATAATCAGGGTTCTTCCACTCTCCCTTCTTCCCAGCCTTGTTCTCGCTCACTGGGGTGTGACCTGATGAGCTGCTCTCACTCAGGCTCTCACAAGCAGATCATCAAAGACAGAGTCTAAGATCATTTGGGATCAGCCTTGCCAAGAGGACAGCATGGCACGGGAGAGAGTGGTCCGGTGCCATGGGGTGGGGGCGACTGTTGAGTGCAGGCTGGGCCTCTTCCTTGGCAGGCTGGGAGCGCATGGCCTGCAGTAGAAGCCGAAAGGTCTTCAGGGGAGCGCTAGGGACAAGTTTTCTGGACTGGCCACAGAAAAAAGCCCTTGTTGGCTCCAGGGTGTCTTGTTCAAATCGGGGAGCTGGTGCTGTCACCATCAGCAGCCTGCCCCGTGGCAGCCCTCTCGCTTCAGAGAGCAGTCTGTCAAGCTCATGTTTCCCACTTTCTAAGCCTTCCCAAACACAACGATCATGCCACTTCTGTGTGGAGGGATGACACTATTTCAATTTCACCAGGAGGCAGTCACTTGCTAATTTTCCCCTGACCCAGAAGATGAGAATGGATGAGAAAGGGTCCACACTACCGTGTTTGAAAATGGGCCAGACAGAGGATGGGAACCAACCACTAGTTGTGTCATATCCGAATTCATACCATCATGGCTGGAAAGGGAGTTTCAGGGCCAGATCTTGATCTTTATGCTATACTTTAGATCAGCATCCTCTGAAGTATGCTCCATAGGAACATAACAGCCCTACTTTTACAATATACTCTATTTATTTATTTATTTATTGAGACAGAGTTTTGCTCTTATTGCCCAGGCTGGGGTGCAGTGGCACGATCTCGACTCACTGCAACCTCCACCTCCTGGGTTCAAGCGATTCTCCTGCCTCAGCCTCCCAAGTAGCTGGGACTATAGGCGTGTGCCACTACGCCCAGCTAATTTTTTTGTATTTTTAGTAGAGACGGGGTTTCATCATGTTGGCCAGGCTGGTCTCAAACTCCTGACCTCAGATGATCTACCTGCCTCGGCCTCCCAAAGTGCAGGGATTACAGGGGTGAGCCCCCACACCTGGCCTACAATATACTCTTTAAAAAGAGTTCCAGAACGGATACGTTTGGAAATCCCCAAGTGCTCCACCCTGTCTCTTGGAGCTACATGATATACAAGAGCACTTTAAAGGCTCTGGCACATTTTTATTTTATTTTTTATATTTTGAGACAGAGTCTCACTCTGTCACCCAGGCTGGAGTGCAGTGGTGCGATCTCGGCTCATTGCAACCTCCGCTTCCCGGTTCAAGTGATTCTCCTGCCTCAGCCTCCTGAGTAGCTGGGATTACAGGAGTGCACCACCATCCCCGGCTAATTTTTGTATTTTAATAGAAACGGGGTTTTGCCATGTTAGCCAGACTGGTCTTGAACTCCTGCCCGTCTTGGCCTCCCAAAGTGCTGGGATTACTGGTGTGAGCCACTGTGCCCAGCTGGCACATTATATAATAAAGAATAATAAACCCATCTTTTAACTTCGCAGTCCTAAGTATAGTTTACCAAACAAAATCCTTGCTTCCAATAATACCTGTAAAAATCCTGTAGTGCTAGAGTTCCCTAGATCTCATTTTGGAAAATAATGTTGCCGGTGATTACAGGTGATTAGGGTCAAGTTTTTTTTTTTTTTTTTTAAGTGGGATCACTGGATAATCTGTGATTTAGAAAAATAACCCAGGCAGCAGCTTAAAAGCTGAGTTAAAGAGAGTTAGACTCAAGCTAGGTAAAAGGATCTAACTAAAGTCAAGAAAACTAGTCCAAGAAAAATGAGGGCATAAAGTATCGATAGTGATTATGGGGGTGGAAAGGGACGGATTTTGTCTCAACACTTTTCTGAGATGGAATTGAAAGCCCATGTGATGGACTGAATATGCAAGGCGGAAGGAGAGGCAGAGATCAAGGTTGTCCCTGCATTTTCCAGCGTGGTTGACCAGATGGATGGCTATGCTGTTAACTAGGACTGGAAACACAGAGGAAGAACTTCCAACATGCCTGCCTTTTAAAACAGCAAATGTCAGAGTCGGTTCCATCTGAGTCCATACAGTTGATGTCACAGAGCGAGTATGGGCAAGAACAACACTGCCCCCCAGGCTCTGGCAGAAATGTACAGTTTCTATATCTGACAGGCTCCTCTGTTGCGCTCCGGCTTCCCTGTTCAGTTTCTGTCTTCAGCTCCGGGTGTGAAACCTAGCAGGGCACATTGGCTAGGAACATAAACAAGTCTGTTTCCCGTCAAAATGCTTAATTACAGCAATACATTATGACACAGTTGGCCAGCCTGGTCTGTCGGAAAGGTTCACAAACAAGAACGATCGTTTTTGAGTGGGAGTTTCCAGGCTATTTGTCAGAGACTTTTGGGAAGTCAAAGTGGCTATAGTTTGTCAGAAGCAGCAATTAAAAATTGCCTCTGGATGTGTGTCAGACTGAAAGATATTTAAAATCAGTGTAAACACTAGACGGTTATCCCCTCAGTACTGGAAGAAATTCTTTTAAAATATATTTTTTATTATACTTTTAAGTTCTAGGGTACCTGTGCACAATGTGCAGGTTTGTTACATATGTATACATGTGCCATGTTGGTGTGCTGCACCCATTAACTCGTCATTTACATCAGGTATATCTCCTAATGCTATCCCTCCCCCCTCCCCCCCAGGCCCCATTGTGTGATGTTCCCCTTCCTGTGTCCAAGTGTTCTCATTGTTCATTTCCCACCTATGAGTGAGAACATGCAGTGTTTGGTTTTTTGTCCTTGTGATAGTTCTCTGAGAATGATGGTTTCCAGCTTCATCCATGTCCCTACAAAGGACATGAACTCATCATTTTTTATGGCTGCATAGTATTCCATGGTGTATATGTGCCACATTTTCTTAATCCAGTCTATCATTGTTGGACATTTGGGTTGGTTCCAAGTCTTTGCTATTGTGAATAGTGCCGCAATAAACATACGTGTGCATGTGTCTTTACAGCAGCATGATTTATAATCCTTTGGGTATATACCCAGTAATGGGATGGCTGGGTCAAATGGTATTTCTAGTTCTAGATCCCTGAGGAATCGCCACACTGTCTTCCACAATGGTTGAACTAGTTTGCAGTGCCACCAACAGTGTAAAAGTTTTCCTATTTCTCCACATCCTCTCCAGAACCTGTTGTTTCCTGACTTTTTAATGATCACCGTTCTAACTGGTGTGAGATGGTATCTCATTGTGGTTTTGATTTGCATTTCTCTGATGGCCAGTGATGATGAGCATTTTTTCATGTGTCTGTTGACTGCATAAATGTCTTCTTTTGAGAAGTGTCTGTTCATATCCTTCGCCCACTTGTTGATGGGGTTGTTTGTTTTTTTCTTGTAAATTTGTTTGAGTTCTTTGTAGATTCTGGATATTAGCCCTTTGTCAGATGAGTAGATTGCAAAAATTTTCTCCCATTCTGTAGGTTGCTTGTTCACTCTGATGGTGGTTTCTTTTGCTGTGCAGAAGCTCTTTAGTTTAATTAGATCCCATTTGTCAATTTTGGCTTTTGTTGCCATTGCTTTTGGTGTTTTAGACATGAAGTCCTTGCCCATGCCTATGTCCTGAATGGTAATGCCTAGGTTTTCTTCTAGGGTTTTTATGGTTTTAGGTCTAACATTTAAGTCTTTAATCCATCTTGAATTAATTTTTGTATAAGGTGTAAGGAAGGGATCCAGTTTCAGCTTTCTACATGTGGCTAGCCAGTTTTCCCAGCACTATTTGTTGAATAGGGAATCCTTTCCCCATTTCATGTTTCTGTCAAGTTTGTCAAAGATCAGATGGTTGTAGATGTGTGGTATTATTTTTGAGGGCTCTGTTCTGTTCCATTGGTCTATATCTCTGTTTTGGTACCAGTACCATGCTGTTTTGGTTACTGTAGCCTTGTAGTATAGTTTGAAGTCAGGTAGCGTGATGCCTCCAGCTTTGTTCTTTTGGCTTAGGATTGACTTGGCAATGCGGGCTCTTTTTTGGTTCCATATGAACTTTAAAGTAGTTTTTTCCCAATTCTGTGTAGAAAGTCATTGGTAGCTTGATGGGGATGGCATTGAATCTATAAATTACCTCGGGCAGTATGGCCATTTTCACGATATTGATTCTTCCTATCCATGAGCATGGAATGTTTTTCCATTTGTTTGTATCCTCTTTTATTTCATTGAGCAGTGGTTTGTAGTTCTCCTTGAAGAGGTCCTTCACATCCCTTGTAAGTTGGATTCCTAGGTATTTTATTCTCTTTGAAGCAATTGTAAATGGGAATTCACTCATGATTTGGCTCTCTGTTTGTTATTGGTGTATAAGAATGCTTATGATTTTTGCACAATGATTTTGTATCCTGAGACTTTGCTGAAGTTGCTTATCAGCTTAAGGAGATTTTGGGCTGAGACAGTGGGGTTTTCTAAATATACAATCATGTCATCTGCAAACAGGGACAATTTGACTTCCTCTTTTCCTAATTGAATACCCTTTATTTCTTTCTCCTGCCTGATTGCCCTGGCCAGAACTTCCAACACTATGTTGAATAGGAGTGGTGAGAGAGGGCATCCCTGTCTTGTGCCAGTTTTCAAAGGGAATGCTTCCAGTTTTTGCCCATTCAGTATGATACTGACTGTGGGTTTGTCATAAATAGCTCTTATTATTTTGAGATACGTCCCATTAATACCTAATTTATTGAGAGTTTTTAGCATGAAGCATTGTTGAATTTTGTCAAAGGCCTTTTCTGCATCTATTGAGATAATCATGTGGTTTTTGTCTTTGGTTCTGTTTATATGCTGGATTACGTTTATTGATTTGCGTATCTGGAACCAGCCTTGCATCCCAGGGATGAAGCCCACTTGATCATGGTGGATAAGCTTTTTGATGTGCTGCTGGATTCGGTTTGCCAGTATTTTATTGAGGATTTTTGCATCGATTTCATCAGGGATATTGGTCTAAAATTCCCTTTTTTGTTGTGTCTCTGCCAGGCTTTGGTAGCAGGATGATGCTGGCCTCATAAAATGAATTAGGGAGGATTCTCTCTTTTTCTATTGATTGGAATAGTTTCAGAAGGAATGGTACCAGCTCCTCCTTGTACCTCTGGTAGAATTCGGCTGTGAATCCATCTGGTCCTGGACATTTTTTGGCTGGTAGACTATTAATTATTGCCTCAATTTCAGAGCCTGTTATTGATCTATTCAGAGATTCAACTTCTTCCTGGTTTAGTCTTGGGAGGGTGTATGTGTCGAGAAATTTATCCATTTCTTCTAGATTTTCTAGTTTATTTGCGTAGAGGTGTTTATAGTAGTCTTTGATGGCAGTTTGTATTTCTGTGGGATCGGTGGTGATATCCCCTTTATCATTTTTTATTGCATCTATTTGATTCTTCTCTCTTTTCTTCTTTATTAGTCTTGCTAGTGGTCTATCAATTTTGTTGATCTTTTCAAAAAACCAGCTCCTGGATTCATTGATTTTTTGAAGGGTTTTTTGTGTCTCTATCTCCTTCAATTCTGCTCAGATCTTAGTTATTTCTTGCCTTCTGCTAGCTTTTGAATGTGTTTGCTCTTGCTTCTCTAGTTCTTTTAGTTGTGATGTTAGGGTGTCAATTTTAGATCTTTCCTCCTTTCTCTTGTGGGCATTTAGTGCTATAAATTTCCTTCTACACACTGCTTTAAAAGTGTCCCAGAGATTCTGGTATGTTGTGTCTTTGTTCTTGTTGGTTTCAAAGAACATCTTTATTTCTGCCTTCATTTCGTTATTTACCCAGTAGTCATTCAGGAGCAGGTTATTCAGTTTCCATGTAGTTGAGCAGTTTTGAGTGAGTTTCTTAATCCTGAGTTCTAGTTTGATTGCACTATGGTCTGAGAGACAGTTTGTTATAATTTCTGTTCTTTTACATTTGCTGAGGAGTGCTTTACTTCCAACTATGTGGTCAATTTTGGAATAAGTGCGGTGTGGTGCTGAGAAGAATGTATATTCTGTTGATTTGGGGTGGAGAGTTCTGTAAATGTCTATTAGGTCCACTTGGTGCAGAGCTGAGTTCAATTCCTGGATATCCTTGTTAACTTTCTGTCTCGTTGATCTGTCTAATGTTGACAGTGGGGTGTTAAGTCTCCCATTATTATTGTGTGGGAGTCTAAGTCTCTTTGTAGGTCTCTAAGGACTTGCTTTATGAATCTGGGTGCTCCTGTATTGGATGCATATATATTTAGGATAGTTTGCTCTTCTTGTTGAATTGATCCCTTTACCATTATGTAATGGCCTTCTTTGTCTCTTTTGATCTTTGCTGGTTTAAAGTCTGTTTTGTCAGAGACTAGGATTGCAACCCCTGCCTTTTTTTGTTTTCCATTTTCTTGGTAGATCTTCCTCCATCCCTTTATTTTGAGCCTATGTGTGTCTCTGCACGTGAGATGGGTCTCCTGAATACAGCACACTGATGGGTCTTGACTCTTTATCCAATTTGCCAGTCTGTGTCTTTTAACTGGAGCATTTAGCCCATTTACATTTAAGGTTAATATTGTTATGTGTGAATTTGATCCTGTCATTATGATGTTAGCTGGTTATTTTGCTTGTTAGTTGATGCAGTTTCTTCCTAGCATCGATGGTCTTTACAATTTGGTATGGTTTTGCCAAATTGTAACAAAAAATTACAGCGTTGTCCTATGTTGCAAACAAATGAAAACTGAAAAGTATGAAGAAAAGTACAGCATGACATAAAACATAAAAATGTGAAGACTGTGGTTTCCTGGGAAGGCCACGAGAGTGGTCAGTTTATTAATATTATGACCTTATGTTCTACTGACAGGAAATTAAGGTTCATTTTTATAACCACCATTCTGTAATTTATAACTACTTCTGGAAAGTTCTTCTGTAGTCCACATTCTACCACATCAATTTAGACACCATTACTTAGTTACATGTTCATATTTTAGCTTCACATTTATTGAGGGTCAGTATTAGAAAGAGCTACACAAAGAACATTTCTACATCTTCTGCAAAACTCTTGATGATACTTTTTTGGGGGCTTTGTTTCTCCATAGAAGGATTCACACACTCAGTTTTTGTTTGTTTGTTTGTTTGTTTGTTTGTTTGTTTTGAGACAGAGTCTCGCTCTGTCGCCCAGGCTGGAGTGCAGGGACGGGAGGGATCTTGGCTCACTGCAAGCTCTGCCTCCCAGGTTCATGCCATTCTCCTGCCTCAGCCTCTTGAGTAGCTGGGACTACAGGTGCCCACCACCATGCCCAGCTAATTTTTTTGTATTTTTTAGTAGAGACGGGGTTTCACCATGTTAGCCAGGATGGTCTTGATCTCCTGACCTCATGGTCTGCCTGCCTCAGCCTCCCAAAGTGCTGGGATTACAGGCGTGAGCCACCGTGCCCGGCCTAACAGGGTGAAAATTCTTAACACTACTGAATGGTATGCTTGAAAGTGGTTAACGTACATTTTTACCACAATTTAAAAAACTATGCATCTTTTAATATAAAAATGTAAACAATTGATATAAAATGCCAAGTAATTAGAAATAAAGTAGCATAAAGAAACTTTAAAGAAAAGTTACTTGGATTTGTTTCTTCCTTTCAAGGTGGTTATGTAAATTTTTTGAAATGAAAATTTGATTGATTAAAAAAATGATTCTGTGTTGGAATAAACTTTGAAAGGTCTGGGTTAAGCCAAGATAAGCACATTTCTTTATCGCTGGATTTTTATACACTGATGTAAAAGTTAAACTTCTAGATGGAGTTAGAGTATGCAGTGTTTCCCAAACTTATCTGACCATGGAACATTGTTTTTGAAGAATATCTCTGAAGATGCGTCTGTATTAGAGATTGGACTGAGGGAAAAAAGTAACCAGGAAACAAAACCATCTGGGCACACTTCCATCTTTGACTAAACATGAATTTTCTGTGGAGAAGTATGTGCTTTGCAAAATCATCTGTTTCTATGCTTTTACATAGTCATTGAAAGTTTTGCTTTTCCCATTTAGTCTTTTTTTTTTTTTTTTTTGATACAGAGTCTTGCTCTGTTGCCCAGGCTGGAGTGCAGTGGCATGATCTCAGCTCACTGCAACCTCCATCTCCTGGGTTCAAGCGATTCTCGTACCTCAGCCTCCCGAGTAGCTGGGATTACAGGCGCGCACCACCATGCTCAGCTGATTGTTGTATTTTTAGTAGAGATGGGGTCTCACCATGTTGGCCAGGCTGGTCTCAAACTCCTGACCTGAAGTGATCCACCCGCCTTGGCCTCTTAAAGTGCTGGGATTATAGGCGTAAGCCACCATGCCCAGCCCCTTTCAGTCTTGTAGTTGATGTTCCTTTTGAAAAGTTTTATTTCTCTGTTGACTAAGGGAAAAAGGATTTTTCAGAACTCATGTTAAGAAAGCTAGGGACACAGAGTGCCCTAGAACTGTGACTCTCAAATTCCAACATGCGTAGGCCTCATCTGGGGAGGGCCTCACCCTCAGAGAGATTTTGACTTCATGGATTAATGGGAGGAAAAAGAAACTGCATTTTTAATAACAGGTGATGGAATCTGTATGCCCATGCACTGGGGTTAAGCACAAAGATAACTGTCATTGTCTCACGTGTAGGATTAGCAAGAGCCAGCTGGGCTGGGGTAGAGAGATTGAGAAAGTCAACTAGGGGAGAGAAAATGGCATATACTTAGAATCAGTGCCTGCTGAGTGATTGGAGCCAGAAGCAAAGGAAAAACTAGTACTGGTTCTGTCTTTATTTAAAATCATGATATTTTGTTCATAGCGGGGTTTTTTTTCTGCATTAAACTATTATTTATCTCAATTACTGAGATTTTTGGTGCTCCCTTAAATTTTGGGTATGCAGTACCTTACCCAGTCCTGACCTGAGAATTTCTAATTTTCCTAGAAATTTCCAAGAATAGTCAGTCTGCTTGCATGACGTGTTTGCCCCACTTGAGTTGAATTCCCTTATGGATCCTTTTGCCTCTTTAGAATCTGTGAGCATTTCTTGCTTTGTTGCAGTCCTCACTTGAAGCACAGTTGTTCTGCTCGGCAGCGTCTGAGAACTCAGCCTGTGTCCTTCAGACTCCAAACCACTTCTGTTGTTCTTCTCTTGTGCTTGATGGAGTGCGTTGCTCACCCGCAGCTGCTGGGTCAGGTTCTGGATGCTTCTGTCCGCTTCTTCTACTCTCTTACTTCTCCTTGTTCTTGAGAGTTCATAAGAAACATCTTGGTTTTTCATTTCACTTTCTGAGCACTGTTTTCACTACAGTTACAGCCATTCTTTTGGATAATTCACTGTGTACCAGGCAGGTCCCTTCCAAAGAATATTTCTCATTCTCACAATGATCTTGTCTATTTCCAGAGGAGAAGCTGGACGGAGGGGCTGACCACGCGGTGCAAGGAACCTGTTGGTCAGCTCATGTCAGTTAGCATTACTTAATAGGAGGCAGTTTGCCTCCGATATCTTTCTGTATAGTTTACACATCATTGTTTGTTAAAGTTGAATTTTTCAAAATTGCTGTTATGTCATATCCTCTATGCACAAGAATGGATCGATGATTCAAAAGGGATTAAAATAAAAATTGTTGATGAAAAAAGCCAAACTTTGTAAAATATTTGAAAAAATTGATTCCTAGCCAAATGTGAGGACCATGACCCATGACACAGCCCCAGGAGGTCCCGAGAACATATGCCCAAGGTGTTTGGGTTACAGTTCGATTTTATGCATTTTAAGGGGACAGAGGTTACAGGCAGACATCAATCAATATGAGGTAGGAGACTAGCGGGTCTGACAGGATGAAGTAAAGAAACTGGCAACAACCAGCAGATGGCGCCCAACTGAAGTGAAGTAGGAACCAGCAGGCGGCACTGAAGGCAACCACTCATTGCCCTTGCTGCTCATTAGCATAAGACACTCCCACTAGCATCATGACTGTTTGCAAATGCCAGGGCAATGACCCAGAAGTTACCGCCCCTTTTCTAGAGATTTCTGAATAATCCACCCTTTAATTTGCATGTAATTAAAAGTGGGCATAAGTACAGCTGCCAACATCCCATGATCTGCTACTCTGAGCACGCTGTATAGGAGTTAGACCTCATCCACAAAGAGCAGCTCTGGTTCAATAAAAGATTGCTGTCGGCTGGGCGCGGTGGCTCACGCCTGTAATCCCAGCACTTTGGGAGGCTGAGGCGGGTGGATCATGAGATCAGGAGATCGAGACCATCCTGGCTAACACGGTGAAACCCCATCTCTACTAAAAATACAAAAAATTAGCTGGGCATGGTGGCAGGCACCTGTAGTCCCAGCTACTCGGGAGGCTGAGGCAGGAGAATGGCGTGAAGCTGGGAGGTGGAGCTTGCAGTGAGCTGAGATCACGCCACTGCACTCCAGCCTGGGTGACAAAGCAAAACTGTCTCAAAAAAAAAAAAAAAAAAAGATTGCTGCCTAACACTACCAGCTTCCCCTTGAATTCTTTCCTGGGTGAAGCCAAGAACGCTGCTGGGCTAAGCCCCAATTTCCAGGCTCGCCTGCCTGCCCACATCAAATACATGTAAAGTTTACATTGGTTTGGCCTGGAGAGATGGGACGTCTTGATGCAGGGACTTCCAGGTCATGGGTGGTTCAAAGATTCCCTGATCGACAGTTGATTGACAGAGTCAAATTACTATCTAAATACCCAGAGTCAACAAAAAGGAGTGTCTGGGTTAAGATAAGGGGTTGTAGAGACCAAGGTTCTTATTATGTAGATGAAGTCTCATAGGTGGACACCTTTAGTGGCAGTAGATGGCAAATGTTTCCTATTCAGACCTTTAAAAGTTGCTGGACTCTCAGCTAATCTCAGGATCAGAAAAAGACCTGGAGAGGGACTGAGATTCTGTACAGAATGTAAATTTCCCCCACAAGAGACAGCTTTGCAGGGCCACTTCAAAATATGTCAAAGAAATGTATTTTGGAGTAAAGTATCTTGATTTCTTTTAGGACCTGCTATCTGTCATGTGATGCTATACTGGAATCAGGTTGGAATTTGGTATCTTACTGCCACAGAGGGTCTGTTTTGTCAGTCTTAAGATTTCTGTTTTGATGTTAATGCTGGTCAATTGTGCCTGAACTCCAAAGGGAGGAAGGTATCAGGAGGCATGCCCTACCTCTCCTTCCCATCATGGCCTGAATTAGTATTTCAGATTTACTTTGAAATCCCCTTGGCTAAGAGGAGGAGTCCATTCAGTCGGATGAGCGGCTTAGAATTGTATTTTTGGTTTACAAAAGGTAAACATCTGAAGTGAATGTGGAACTGCAGAATGCAGATCTGTATGAACTGGAAAAAACATATCTGGGAGGGGAATGATGATCAAAATCAGCCTAACAAGAGAATTACAGATGGGAAATGCAGTTAAAAAAATACCAAAAAAACCCCTCCGTTTTACTGGCCCATTTGCAACCTACTCTCAGTTTATTTTCTTCCAAAACTTTTTTCCTTTTTGAGATGAAGCCTGGCTCTGTCGCCCAGGCTGGAGTGCAGTGGCGCGATCTCGGCTCACTGCAAGCTCCGCCTCCTGGGTTCAAGCGATTCTCCTGCCTCAGCCTCCTAAGTAGCTGAGATTACAGGCATGTGCCACCATACCTGGCTTTTTTTTTTTTTTTGAAACAGAGCTTCTGTTGCCCAGGCTGGAGTGCAGTGGCACCATCTTGGCTCACTGCAACCTCCACCTCTTGGGTTTAAGCAATTCTCCTGCCTTAGCCTCCTCAGTAACTATTACTACAGGTGCACCCCACCACATCCGGCTAATTTTTGTATTTTTAGTAAAGATGTGATTTCACCATGTTGGCCAGGCTGGTCTTGAACTCCTGACCTCAAGTGATCCACCCTTCTCGGCCTTCCAAAGTGCTGGGATTACAGGCTTGAGCCACCACACCCAGCCACAACTTTTCAAGTTAGTAACATGAAACTGTTAATTTGTCCACATCATTTTCTAACAATATACAGCAACCACCTTAATAAACCAAGTTTTTCTTTTCATGCTCCCTTCAAAGACAAAATAAGTCTCCCAGCATGAAATAAATAAATTTCATTACTAAAAGTGGAGATGAGACCAAAACTCCTCAAAGTTCATTCAAAGTTTACCCCGTTATACTTTCCATAGCAAGAATACTATTAGTTACACAGTTGTGGGAGAACTTATAAAACCAGCTGCAAAAGTGAGTGCCACATAGTTCTGAGCTCAGAGAGAAAAATAGAACAAACTACTGGCTAAATTCCTAAATCATATGACTCTGTAAGATGTCACATCATTTATATGGCATAAAATACAGAAGAGCACAGCAATAGTTTTGCTTTATAGCAGTATAAGTTTGCTGCATATAAAGTATGAGTCAGTTCTTGAAAAAGAGAACAGGAGAAGCACTTGATGGCAATTTGTTCTTCTTATCATTGAAAATTCACGCTACAGAAGAAGTTTATGAAGCCGTGTTATTGGTGACTTTGTGTGCCGTGATACAGACTAGACAATGTGCACTGGAGCAGAGTTCATGGAACAACAGCTATGTGAGTGCCCAAAGAGGTTCACCGAAGTGGCAACCCAAATGTCAATCAAAATCAGCTTAAAAAGAGAATTGCTCTATTCTCAGAAAACAGCTGGCAGTCAGTGATATGCCTCTGACCTTTAGCACTGAAGGAAGGAATTTTTAAAAACGTGACTATGTAATCAATGTGACTGTGTATGCTTCTCAGCTCAGCATACATCTTTGCAACATGCCAGGAGAAGAAATGGGCAGAGATGACAAAACACTGCTTTTCCATGCTCAAGTCCACTGGCTCTCAAGAGGGAAGACCCCAAGGGGAAGGGTGCTAGGTGGGGTTTAAAATGAGGGGTAAGACAAAACCTTTCCTTCATTCATGATGCATTTGTTTATCTTTGTCAGAAAAAGAAACCGATGATGTATTATGAAGCACGTTTATGTAGCATGTCCAAATGCTGAATAAACAAAAATTACTTTCCAGAGCTAATACAATGAAAGAGTGGATAAACACAGTGGATGAAAACTTTTTTCCTTGCCTTTGGAAGTGATATACTCATTAACTTAGCATTAATGCAGAACAGAAATTAGTCTTCAGTGGAAATTTCTCCATAATTTCTAGGTCCTTTTTCAATGTGCATATCCAAAATTACTTTGTATCAATGTCAACATCATGGTTGTGATACTGTACTGAAAATTTGCAGGATGTTAGTATTGGGGGAAACTGGGTAAAGGATATGTGGGAATTTCTTCTCAGTTTTTACAATGACACATGAATCTATAATTATCTTAAAATTAAAAGTTTAATTTTAAAAAGTTTAATCAAACAACAACAAAAGCATAACGCTGTGATGAACAAGCCTGTCTGTTCCTATCTTTGTACAGCTCTAAGGGGGCTTCGTTAGGATAAACTGCTCCAAGTGGGATTGCTGGATCAAATCATATACAGATTTTTGCATCTATGTTCATGAGGGATATTGGTCTATAGTTTTTTTTCATGTAATCTCAGTCAGGTTTTGGTATCAGAGTTATGCCGACCTCATTAAAAAAAGTGAGATTTTTATCACTCCTCATGTAATTTATCCTCTTCCACTATAGGAATTTGTTAATTTCCATATTCCTCTTCTACAGTGTCCCACTTCTGAGAAGGTAATTCTGATAATTGTTAGTGTGATCATGAAATACAATACATTTTACTTTATCCTGCCTTTTCCTAAATATAAATGCTGTTCTACTTGTTCTCCCTCTGTTTTTGTAATCATAGCACGTTGTAGTATTGTAGATACAGTTTATAGAAAAGGGGCAATTTCATCTTGGACGTTTAACCTTGCCTGTCTGGATTTGGCTTCATTTTGACTTCGAGTTTGGTCATTTCTAGCATGATCAACTTTGTCCAACATCAGCAAAATTCATTGTCACCTTTCTTGTACTCAGGAGAGTTTCAAAGCCTGAAATCGTTTCATCTTTCACACATATTTCTGTTTTTCCTTCCTCTCTCCTTCTCTGCTACTGCAGAGGGTAGAAGTAGCATAAACCTTCACAGATGCACTTTTTCACATTTCAAGTTTGCATTGTGATCATAGACCTTTCAACCAAAAACGATTCCAAACTTTTAAAATATGTTCTTCAGTACAGTTGTCATTTCTGTACCCTTCTCTTCTATTTTTGTTAATTGGTGAGACAACTTTTAAAGAAATGCCTTCATGGGTATAGTTCTCTTTGTAAGCAGCTAAGAGAAACAAACAGATCGTCTCTCATTTTCTTTGAGACTCCTGTGGGCTAAAGTTCACGACTGTGTTTTCATGCTCCAGGCGGCACACGATCTTTCCTTGAGCTGAGCTTTATCTGTGTTTGTGACTTTCATAATTGCTTCAAGAATCTGAACAACCATTTTCCTTCTTCTTTTCATGTTTAGCCCCCTTTTCTCTCCCCTCTGGCTCTCCACTGGCCTCCTTCCTCTTCTGTTCTCATTGTGGGTCTTTAGCTTGGTCTACAGTGGCCTGCTCTTCTCATTCTTTTTGGTTTTTATTTGCATGAATTTCACTAGACCCTTCTGTTGGCACAGTATAGCCATTTTCACCCCGACTTTTACTTTTAGAACCCTTTGCTGATTATTTTATTTTTATTTTTATTTGAGACAAGATCTCACCCTGTCACCCAGTCTGGAGTGCAGTGGTGCAATCATGGCTTACTGCAGCCTCGACCTACCTGGGCTCAGGTGATCCTACCACCTCAGCCTCCCAAGTAGCTGGGACTACAGGTACACACCACCACGCCCAGCTAATTTTTGTATTTTTTGTAGAGACAGAGTCTTGGTTTGTTGCCCAGGCTGGTCTCGAACTCCTGGGCTCAAGCCATCCTCCCACCTTGGCCTCCCAAAGTACTGGGATTACAGGTGTGAGCCATGGCGCCCAGCCCCTTTGCTCATTCTTAACTATTTAGTTGATTTCCTTCTGTTTCCCATGTAATTCCTTAAATTTTCCCATCTCATTGTGATCTCTCTTAGAAATACCTCTTTGTTCTTTTACATCCTCAGCCACATCCCTGCCTTTATCTGGATCCCCAAGGCTGCCACAGCAGTGTTTTACGATGTGATGATTTCCTGCCGTGTCTAGATGATTTTCTTCCCTTCCTTCATCTATTTTGTTTTTAAACCTATTTTGCGAAAGGCACTGGTAATATAAAGGTTATGCTCTTAACATTTCTGTAGGTAAACAAAAGGCATTGTTCTCCTTACCTGAAACATTTCTGACCAGCTCCTGCATATGAAATCCTATTTTTAGCTGTATTCCTAGTATGTTTTGAGCAGCTCTCATATGGTTCTGATCCTTTACTAAAAATAAACAGCATCGCTGGGCGTGGTGGCTCATGCCTGTAATTCCAGCACTTTGGGAGGCTGAGGTGGGCGGATCACAAGGTCAGGAGATTGAGACCATCTCGGCTAACATGGTGAAACCCTGTCTCTACTAAAAAATACAAAAAATTAGCTGGGCCTGGTGGTGGGCACCTGTAGTCCCAGCTACTCGAGAGGCTGAGACAGGAGAATGGCATGAACCTGAGAGGTGGAGCTTGCAGTGAGCCGAGATTGTGCCACTGCACTCCAGCCTGGGTGACAGAGCGAGACTCCATCTCAAAAAAAAAAAAAATTAACAGCATCCTGTATGTGGCTAGCCAGCCCCTCCCCTTGTCAGCATTCCTTACTACACTTTCTGGATGTCCAATATTAAGTCTGTTGGCTACTTTTACTGGAATGGCTAATTCATCACCACCTCTTTTTGATCAAGCCTCAAACTCTCCCAAATTCACCGATTCAGTCCTAAAATGAATAGTCTTACCTGCTAAGTAAAATTCTTTTTGCTGTCTTTAAAATCCTAATATATTTCCCAAAGTAAATCCAATTCCTCTGCTAGTCAGGTCAATGACCCCTGACATGTCCCTTGAGTTAATCTCAACTTAGCTAGTAACCAGGGCTCCACTCATCTGCCAGGTGGCTGCTTTCATCCTTCGTGAGTGATTCTCCCTCTGGGGGCATTTTTTCCTCCCGCCTCAGAGAAGCAGAGCAGGTTAGGACTTTGTGTTGTTTGGCTTTGAATTTCTAGCACCTGGAATAACCCTGGGCACGTTGTGGGCCATGAGTGAACATGTGCTGACTGAATGAATGGGTGAATCTCCTCAAGCCGCTGGTGGTTCTGAGGCTTCTGTGTCACTTTGAAGTCCTTAAGGAAGACAAAATAGACAAAGAATCAGGCTCTACCGGTTGCTTTCACTAGCTTCAGGTGGCTTATGTACTCAGCCCTGTTTCCTGTGTCTGGAGAAGCTTACCCCCCCGCCTTTTTATTTGTTGTTGTTGCCCGTGCCTACCTGCTTCTCCCAAGCTTGCTCTTGTTCATCCTCTAGGTCTTGGCTTAAATGTCAGTATCAGTTCATCCGGGTGATCTTTTTGGACATCCCAGACTTGGCCCTGACCTCTTTTTGTGCGCTCTGGTTTCCCATGCACTTCCTTTTGATGGCGCCTCACTTTTGCTGTTATTGCCCAACATCTGTTTTTCCCACTCATCCTAAAATTCCATAGGGTCAGGGACTGAGGTGGTG
The DNA here is from genome assembly GCF_000001405.40 of Homo sapiens. Classification (NCBI taxonomy): domain Eukaryota; kingdom Metazoa; phylum Chordata; class Mammalia; order Primates; family Hominidae; genus Homo; species Homo sapiens. The sequence goes on along the minus strand of NC_000007.14, from coordinate 148,521,049 downwards.
CTTCACGCCACACTATTCCTGGTGCATGTGGGAGACAAGAAGTATTTGCTGAATTAATCACTAATCAGAGGAATAATACAAAAATATGTCCTTCTGGCCCATCAACATATGAACGGACAAAGAAAATGTAATTTATTTTCATTATTTATTTTTTGGGGATAGAGTCTCACTCTGTCACTCAGGCTGGAGTGCAGTGGTGCAATCTCAGCTCACTGCACCTTTGCCTCCCGGGTTCAAGTGATTCTCGTGCCTCAGCCTCCCAAGTAACTGGGATTACAGGGGTGTGCCACCACGCCTGGCTAATTTGTGTATTTTTAGTAGAGACCGGGTTTTGCCATGTTGGCCAGGCTGTTCTTGACCTCCTGATCTCAAGTGATCTGCGTACCCTGGCCTCCCAAAGTGCTGGGATTACAGCCACCATGCCTGGCCAAAAATATGGTTTATATAGATGGTGGGATGTTATTCAGCCACGAAAAGAATGAAATCCTGTCATTTGCAGCAATGTGGATGAAACTGGAGGCCATTATGTTAAATGAAAGAAGCCAGGCACAGAAAGATAAATATCACATTCTCACTTATATGTAGGAGTTAAAAAAGTGGATATCATGATGGTACAGAGAAGATTGGTGTCTACCAGAGCCTGGAAAGGGGAGAGAGATGGAGAGATGAAGGGGAAAAAAAGGATATAAATGTATTTATTACCACAGAACTATTGACTTAAAAATAGTAAAGATGGTCAATTTAAAAAATAAAAAATAAAATGTACTTCTGGTCCTTGGGATGATACGCTTACGCTTGTGAACCCTGAAAATCTGAGACAGGTCTTAGTTAATTTAGAAAGTTTATTTTGCCAAGGTTGAGAACATGCACCCATGGCACAGCCTCAGGAGGTCCTGATGACATGTGCCCAAGGTGGTCGGGGCACAGCTTGGTTTTATACATTTTAGTGAGACATGAGACATCAATCAGTATATGTAAGATGTACATTGGTTCCGTCCAGAAAGGAGGGACAACTCGAAGCAGGGAGGGAGCTTCCAGGTCACAGGTAGCTGAGAGACAAATGGTTGCATTCTTTTGAGTTTCTGGTTAGCCTTTCCAAAGGAGGCAATCAGATATGCATCTATCTCAGTGAGCAGAGGGATACTATGGGAGGCAGGTTTGCCCTAAGCAGTTCCCAGCTTGACTTTTCCCTTTAGCTTAGTGATTATTTAGGATTTATTTTTCTTTTACAGCTATATTTTATGAAAGGGGAACCAGGAGTTGGATATTAGAACAAGGGAGGTGTATTAGTCCATTTTCACACTGCTGATAAAGACATACCCAAGTGTAGGCAATTTACAAAAGAAAGAGATTTAACTGGACTTACAGTTCCACATGGCTGGGGAAACCTCACAATCATGGCAGAAGGCAAGGAGGAGCAAGTCTCATCTTACATGGATGTCAGCAGGCCAAGAGAATGAGGAAGATGCAAACGCGGAAACCCCTGATAAAACCAACCTATCTCAGAACATATCTCAAAATAGTAAGAGCTATTTATGACAAACCCATAGCCAATATCATACTGAGTAGGCAAAAGCTGGAAGCATTCGCTTTGAAAACCAGCACAAAAAAAGGATGCCCTCTCTCACCACTCCTATTCAACGTAGTATTGGAAGTTCTGGCCAGGACAATCAGGCAAGAGAAAGAAATAAAGCGTATTCAAATAGGAAGAGAGGAAGTCAAATTATCTCTGTTTGCAGATGACATGATTGTATATTTAGAAAACCCCATTGTCCCAGCCCCAAAACTCCTTAAGCTGGTAAACAACTTCAGCAAAGTCTCATGATACAAAATCGATGTGCAAAAATCACAAGCATTCCTATACACCAATAATAGACAAGGAGAGAGCCAAATCATGAGTGAACTCCCATTCACAATTGCTACAAAGAAAATAAAATACCTGGGAATACAGCTTACAAGGGATGTGAAGGACCTCTTCAAGGAGAACTACAAACCACTGCTCAAGGAAATAAGACAGGACACAAACAAATGGAAAAAATTCCATGCTCTTGGATAGGCAGAATCAATATTGTGAAAATGGCTATACTGCCCAAAGTAATTTACAGATTCAATGCTATTCCCATCAAGTTACCATTGACTTTCTTCATAGAACTAGAAAAAGCTACTTTAAATTTCATATGGAACCAAAAAAGAGCCCATATACCCAAGACAATGCTAAGCCAAAAGAACAAAGCTGGAGGCATCGTGCTACTTGACTTCAAATTATACTACAAGGCTACAGTAACCAAAACAGCATGTTACTGGTACCAAAACAGATATATAGGCCAATGGAACAGAACAGAGGCCTCAGAAATAACACCACACATCTACAACCATCTGATCTTCAACAAACCTGACAAAAACAAGCAATGGGGAAAGGATTCCCTATTTAATAAATGGTGCTGGGAAAACTGGCTAGCCATATGCAGAAAACAGAAACTGGAACCCTTCCTCACACCTTATACAAAAATTAACTCAAGATGGATTAACGACTTACATGTAAAACCTAAAACCATAAAAACCCTAGAAGAAAACCTAGGCAATACGGTTCAGGACATAGGCATGGGCAAAGACTTCATGACTAAAACACCAAAAGCAATTGCAACAAAAGCTAAAATTGATCTAATTAAACTAAAGAGCTTCTGCTCAGCAAAAGAAACTATCATCAGAGTGAACAGGCAACCTACAGAATGGGAGAAAATTTTTGCAATCTATCCATCTGACAAAGGTCTAATTAATATCCAGAATCGACAAGGAACTTAAGCAAATTTACAAGACAAAAACAAACAGCCCCATTGAAAAGTGGGCAAAGGATACGAACAGACACTTCTCAAAAGAAGATATTTATGTGGCCAACAAACTTATGAAAAAAAGGTCATCATCACTGGTCATTAGAGAAATGCAAATCAAAACCACACTGAGATGCCATCTCACACCAGTTAGAATGGCAATCACTAAGAAGTTGGGAAACAACAGATGCTGGCGAGATTGTGGAGAAATAGGAATGCTTTTACACTGTTGGTGGGAGTGTAAATTAGTTCAACCATTGTAGAAGACAGTGTGGCAATTCTTCAAGGATCTAGAACCAGAAATACCATTTGACCCAGCAATCCCATTACTGGGTATATACCCAAAGGATTATAAATCATTCTACCATAAAGACACAGGCACACGTATGTTTATTGCAGCACTATTTACAATAGCAAAGACTTGCAACCAACCCAAATGCCCATCAGTTATGGACTGGATAAAGAAAATGTGGCACATATACACCATGGAATACTATGCAGCCATAAAAAATGAGTTCATGTCCTTTGCAGGGACATGGATGAAGCTGGAAACCATCATCCTCAGCAAACTAACACAGGAATAGAAAACCAAACACCACATGTTCTCACTAACAAGTGGGAGTTGAACAATGAGAACACATGGACCCAGGGAGGGGAACATCACACACTGGGGCCTGTTGGGTGGTAGGGGGGAAGGGGAGGGAGAGCATTGGGAAAAATACCTAATGCATGCAGGACTTAAAACCTGCATGATGATGCAGCAAACCACCATGGCACATGTATAGCTATGTAATAAACCTGCATGTTCAGTACATGTATCCCAGAACTTAAAGTAAAATTTAAAAAAGAAAAAAAACCATCAGATCTTTGAGATATTTATTCACTACCACAAGAACAGTTTGGGGGAAACTGCCCCCATGATTCAATTATCTCCCACAGGGTCCCTCCCGCAACACGTGGAAATTATGGGAATATAATTCAAGATAAGATTTTGGTGGGGACACAGAGCCAAACCATACCAGGAGGCAACCTGGTACTGTTGTATCTTGTGACTGTTGGAGAACATTGTTGAGAAGAACACAGTGGTCAGTGTGAGAAGAGAAGTGTGAGAAGAGAAGCAAATTGACTATGAAAAGCAATGACTACAGCCTTAAGTCCATAATAATGCTATAAGACAGAAGTTGGCAAACTCTTTTTATTAAAGACCAGATGGTTAATATTTTAGGCTTTGGGGGTCTCTGTTGTTAAGTATGCAACTCAGCCATTTTAGCACCAATGCAGCCATAGACCACATGTAAATGAATGCCTATGGATGTGTATAAATAAAATTTTATTTATAGAAACAGGCAGTGGTCTGGGTTTAGTCAACCTCTGTTATAAAGGGATATTAAAATCAAGTGTGCTGAAAAATTATGAGAAACAGAGGTGTCATACATATAGAGTTTTTAAACATATATATTATTTATATAAATCAGGAAATACTGATCAGACCAAAATAAAAGTGACTCACATTACAATTTAAGCCAAAATACAAATAACCATCACAAATTGCTCTTGTCCTGCAAACCTTCAGGACTATCTCGTTTGGGTTTAAAACTGTATGCAGTGTGTGCTGTAAATTATGATGCTTAAATGCTTTAGGTATGTGATACACACATACAGGGTGACGGGTGCCTATGTCTTTGTTGTAGAAACGAAGCCCAGCGTGCTTGCCTCTTGGATGACTGAACACACAAGGCATTTTCCAAACAGCATGGGCACACCATGATGCCAAATGTCCTTATTTCTACATTTGTGATGAAATCAAGTATGTAGGCAGTCAAGAGTTAAATTGTTTAGTGAGTGTCTTCTTTGAAAGGCAGGAAAGGAGATTCAGTGTGGGCCATCTTTATATTCTGTATGTGCTGTTTTTAGAAAGCAAAAATAATGTTGGTCCACTAGTGACTCACCACCATAAAACTGTGTCGAATAAATGAATGGATAAGATAAAGAAGAGTGGGCAGTTTCGACAGCCCTTGTGAAAGAGAACTGGTAGAGCCTGGAGCTAAATGCATGTGGAGTGGGCAGGTGAAGCCTGCTGTCTGCTCTGTTGGGTGAAGGGTGACCAGGTGTAGATTTCAGGGAAAGGAGCAGGTTTTAGAAAGAAGGATGATGAGTCCCATTTTGTAGAAAATGTTGAGGTGCTTATGAGATGTCTATTAGAGAATTTGCTGTATGAGTCAGAGGCTCAGGCAAATTGGCTGACTGAAGCCAATTTGATTTTAATATCCCTTTATAACAGTGGTTGACTAAACCTAGCTCACTGCCTGTTTTTATAAAGTTTTATTTATACACAGCCATATGCATTCATTTACAATTAATTTTGGGAACTGCTTTAGCAGAGAAAACAATGGAGTCAGCTTGTGTTGCAGGAAAAGGGAAAGGAAAGCAAGAGAGAATAAGGGCTCCACTCTATGGAAACACCAACATTTATGAGGCTGGACTTGGCTGGAACAAGAATAAGACTCCTGATGCTCGAACGGGAACCAGGAGGAAGAGTGCTATTTAGTGTCCCCAAGGCCAAGGTAGGAGTGAGCACTCAAATGGTACCGTGAACTGAGGCCAGTGTTCCTTCTCTACCCCTTTCTTTGGTTAAAGTCACTTTAGCTTTAACTTTTGCTTTGTAGCTTTCAGGATGTGTATTTGACCTGTTGGGTAGACTAGATCTCCAGTCTAGGCTATGATTCATCACTTTGCGGAATGTGTTTGTGAGCAGAGAAGAAAAGCCTTTGACCACATCTTTAGAGATGATGATAGGAATGTAGTGATTAGCACTTGGGGAGGGTCTCATTGGTGGACATGATGCTGATAAGCAGCCCAGTCTCGCTGTTGAGGGTGTAATACTGGTGAAGGGTGAGTCTGTCCCTAGAAGACCTGAGGAAAACACCCCAAATGAGGCTCTTGGTGAATTTGGAGGTTATCATGGCATAGGCATGATGCTCACCCGCCGGTCTCTTAATCTCTTCCTCTTCCCACTTAGACTCTTCCTTGTTTCATCTGCATACTGCAGGGGCCTCTCTTTACAGCCCACTTTAGGGCTTAATGACAGCTCTTCCACCCTCTTTGAGTGGTCTGGGGGAAAAGGTGAAAAATGAGAATGCTTTATCTCTTTCCAGAGGCCTTCAATGATAACCTCATGGAAGGAGAGAGTGGCAATAATGTCCCATAGCAGCACCACTTTCTTTGTTATACTTGCAGGATTGCTAGACAGAGAAAGTGTTATCTCAGTCTGCGTGTATCTCAGTTACTCAAACAGGCTGGGTAACTTGTAAACAACAGAAATTTACTTCTCACAGTTCTAGAGGCTGGGAAGTCCAAGATCAAGGTGTCTGCGGCATCTGGGAAGGGTCTGCTTCCTTATAGATGGTGCCTTCTTGCTGTGTTCTCTCACATGGCAAAATGGGCCAACAAGCTCTGGGCCTCTTTTATGAGGGCCCTAATCCTACTTATGAGGGTTCTGCACTCATGATCTAATCACCTCCCAAAGTCCCTACCTCTTAATACTATCAGATTGGTTGTTAGGTTTGAACATATGAATTTGGGGGGGACACAAATGTTCAGAACACAGAAAGTATATGCAATTTCTATACTGTGTCTTTCTGGAGAGTAAGATAGAAAATTAAGTTAGGAAGAGTAAGAATTTTTTTTAAAAAGTCAAAAACAAAAGCGAGATAAAGACTTCTAACCCTTTGTCCTAATGGTATATGTCTTAAGGGCACCCGCCAACCTCTGCTGATAAGAATTTCAATTTCAAAGGCCACATAGGGGCATGGGGGATAAGGGACAACGCTTTGGGTTCATACAAGTTGGGAGTCAGTTTAGAAACCTCAGAGTAAGGCTGGATCTCTAATGTCCAAATTCTCTGTGAAAAGGTAAACTAGAAAAAAGAAAAGGCACCCAAAAAAGTAGGCCACGAGGAAACTTGTTTGTTTTAACTTTGGTTCTGGGTTTAGGGGCTAAAACACAAAAGGCTACATTGAGAATTTACCATAAACTGGTTCATGTGTGGGTGTGAGGCTGGAATTCACGCTGCCTGTGTGATGCAAATAAACCCCAATTGAAAATTTAGTTTAAATTAGTTCTGACTTGTAATGTTTCCAGTCATCTAAAAAAGAAAACAAGAATCTATCCTGGCGTAATATCCTCAAGTAGGTCTCAGAGAGGTTCGGCAAAGTTCCAGGGAAAATGGGCTCAAAAAACAAAACACTCCTGGCTAACACGGTGAAGCCCTGTCTCTACTAAAAATACAAAAAATTAGCCAGGCATGGTGGCGGGTGCCTGTAGTCCCAGCTACTCAGGAGGCTGAGGCAGGAGAATGGCATGAAGCCGGGAGGTGGAGCTTGCAGTGAGCCTAGATTGCGCCACTGCACTCCAGCCTGGGTGACAGAGTGAGACTCCATCTCAAAAAAAAAAAAAAAAAGAAAAAAAAAAGAAACAAACAACAACAACAAAAAACACATACATTCCAGCAGAAACAATAAGCAACAGAATCAGACCTGAAGAGCCTTTTAATATTGGAAATGTCTGATATATAATATAAAATAAGTATGTTTAATACGTATGAAGGAATAACACAGAAATTGGAAATATGATTAAGGGGTAATAGGCTCTCAAAGGTGACCAGGGAGATATAAAGAAGAATCGATGATAAAATTTAGGATGATGTCCCTGCCCAAATCTCACTGAAATGTAATCCCTAGTGTCGGAGGTGGAACCTGGTGGGAGGTGATTGGATCATGGGGACAGATTTCTCATGAACGGTTTAGCACCATTCCTTGCAGTACTGTCCTCGAAGTAGTGAGTGAGTTCTCATGAGATTTGTTTGTTTAAAAGGATGCGGCACCTCCCCCTTTGCTCTCTCACGCCTGCTTTTGCCAGGTGACATGCCTGCTTCCTCTTCATCTTCCACCATGATTGGAAGCTTCCAGAGGCTTCCCTAGAAGCAGATGCTGTTATGCTTCCTGTATGGCCAACAGAAGCATGAGCCAATTTAATCTCTTTTCTTATAAATTACCCAATGTCAGGTTTTTTTTTTTTTTTAATAGCAATGCAAGAATGGCCTAATATGGATGATAAGGTGGCGTGGTGTTTGAATCTACCCAAATTGCCTCATAGAAACAAAAAGAGCCACGACAATAGCAAAACTAGAGATTCACACCTACAACAAAACTAGGTGACAATATGACAAGGTAACCCTATAAACCCCCATACATGACTGTCTGGGAACACATCAACAGTGACAGACTCAAGTATTAATGACACGTGTATCAGAGGGAGTAGAGATGGAGCAACTGAGCTTTGAGAACCCCGAGAGCAGGAGAATCTTAAAAATATCAGAGACCCTCATCACCTGTCATTTTATTAAAAGTTCTTATTATTTGTATGAGTTTTTCCTTAAAAATTTTTTTCTTATTTATAGGTGCATTATTTACTAGAAATGGTTTTATTAATACCTTCTCTTTTCCATTTCTTATGCTTCTAATTGATTTCATTTCTAATTGCATTGGCTAATACTTCCAACACAGTGTTAAGGAATAGTGGAGACTGTGGGCATTCTTGTGTTATTCTAAACTTTAGTGGAAAAACTTTTAGTGTGTCTTTACTAAGATAATGGCATTGGGGCTTAAATATGTATTTTATCAACATAAGAAAGTATGTGTTTTTAACACAAATAGTTGAATTCTAAAGTCTTTCTGCATCTATGGAGATGAGTGTATAGGTTTTCTTTTTGGCTCTACCGATATGGTAGATTATATTAATAGAATTTCTAACATTAAACCACCTTTGTTTGCCTGGGATAAACCCCTCTTTGTTTTGGTATGTTATTTAAAAATGTACTTTGAGTTTTGTTTGTTAATATTTTAGTAAAGATTTTTGCAGCTATATTTCTTAAGTGAGATTAGTTGTTGATCTTCTTCTTTTGGTGAAAACATTATCAATGTTATAGTCACTCTAATAATGACTACCAGTGATTGCCAAAACCATTAGGTGAAAATTGATAGGGTGCTTCATGATGCATGGCTTAAACAATCCACTAATCAATCCTACCTAAACGCTTCTTAAGAAGTGTTGTTTTTTTTTTTTTTGCCAAAAATTTGAAGCTGAATTTAATCTGGTTTACAGCAATTATAAAGGATTCAGGAAACTGTTAAACAATACCATACAGATTTAATAAGCAAAACCTAGAATGAGTACAACTATGGGACAAGTAGCCCAGTTTCTTTAAGAACTAGATTGTAAGAATAAACAGGAGAGAGAAGCTGTGGATTACAAGACATTTAAAAGACATATTAGCTAAATGCAAGGTGTCAGGGTTGTTTTGATCCTGATTCATACAAATCAAAGATGTGAAAAAAAATCTTGCACAAGGGCCAGGCGCGGTGGCTCACGCTTGTAATCCCAGCATTTTGGGAGGCTGAGGTGGGCGGGTCACTTGAGGTCAGGTGTTCGAGACCAGCCTAGCCAACATGGTGAAACCCCGTCTCAATGAAATATACAAAAATTAGCTGGGCATAGTGGCGTGTGCCTGTAATCCCAGCTACTCGGGAGGCTGAGGCAGGAAGAATTGCTTGAACCCGGGAGGCAGAGGTTGCAGTGAGCCGAGATTGGGCCAGGGCACTCCAGCCTGGGTGACAGAGCGAGACTCCGTCTCAAAAAAACAAAAACAAAAACAAAACAAACAAACAAAAAACAAGAAAGACTTGCAAAATTTGAACACTGAGTCTGTATTTGATGATATGAAGTAATTATTACTACTTTTTTAGTTGTGATAATGGCATTTTGTTTTTTTAAACTCTTTATAATTCATAGATACATATTGAGATGTTTATAGATGAAATCATATGGTGTCTGAAATTTGCCTCAAAATAACACAAGATGGGGCAGATGTGAGTGACCACATCTCTGATGCAAATTTGACCATGATTTTCATCATTTTTGAAGCTGGGCCATGGTACCTGGGGTCCATTATATTATTATTTATATATGTTTGAAATTGTATAAAATAAAAACTAAATATGTTAATAAATAACAACATGCATTTACTTGTAGTGTAGTATATATTACATTACAGTTTGATTATTATGTATACAACCGCCTTCCCACTTTAAATCATTAGTCTCACCCCCTACTCCAACAAAACAGAAAGCAGAAAGCCTAAAAGTTAATGAGCTAAGCTTTTGCCTTAGGAAGTAGGAATCATAACAGTGAAATGAATTAAAAAATAATGAGGGAAGGAAAAAATGAAGATATAACAGCAGAAATTAAGGAAATAAACATGTAATACAGAGCAGCTTTGATATCATTAATAAAATTACCAAACCTCTTGGCTGGGCGCAGTGGCTCACTCCTGTAATCCCAGCACTTTGGGAGGCTGAGGCGGACGGATCACCTGAGGTCAGGTGTTCGAGACCAGCCTGGCCAACGTGGTGAAACTCTGTCTCTACTAAAAACACAAAAATTAGCCAGGTATGGTGGTGGGCGCCTGTAATCCCAGCTACTCGGGAGGCTGAGGCAGGAGAATCACTTGAACCCGGGAGGCGGAGGTTGCAGTGAGCCGAGATCATGCCACTGCACTCCAGCCTGGGTGACAGAGCGAGACTCTGTCTCAATAAATAAATAAATAACCAAACCTCAAACAAGGTTAATTGAAGAAAAATCAGAGAAGGCACAAATACACGATACCTGTACTAAAAAGGGAGGTGTAACTACAGTTGCAGCTGGTTACAAAGATAAGAGAATATCACAAACAACTTTTGCTAACATATTTGAAAACTCAGAGTAAATGGATATGGACCTAGAAAAATATGTGTCCAATGAATTTAAGATGAAGGAACTTGAATCGGTAAGTAGTTAATAATTTGCCTGCAAAAGAAACACCAAACCAAACAGAGGTGTCCTAACAAAACTTCAAAGAAATATTTTACTTGTAAAGAAACTCTCCTAAAAAATAGAAGGAAAACAATAACTCATTTTTCTGAGGATAATGTAATTTTAAAGCCAAAACTGCAAGGACAGCATGAAAGAGAAAAATCAGTCATTGATTTAGAACCCAATCCTAAATAAAATTTTAGTATACCTAATCTAGCAATGTAGCAATCATATACAGATACATGCATTCACAAATGTAAGCACAAACAAATTATTAAGCCCAATTATGCAAGATTGGTTGAATGTTAGGCAATATAAAAATTTTACTCATTATATCAAAATACTAAAAAAGAAATGATATATGATCATCTCAATATATAAAAAAGCATTTGAGAAAATTCAGCATCTATTTGGATTAGAAAACTCAACGCAGTAAAGATGTCAACTCTCAGCTGGGTGTGGTGGCTCACTCCTGTAATCCCAGCACTTTGGGAGGGTGAGACAGGTGGATCACAAGGTCAGGAGATCAAGACCAGCCTGGCCAACATGGTGAAACCCTGTCTCTACTAAAAATACAAAAATTAGCTGGGTGTGGTAGGGTGTACCTGTAATCCCAGCTGCTCAGGAGGCTGAGGCAGGAGAATCGCTTGAACCAGGGAGATGGACTTTGCAGTGAGCTGAGATTGCGCCACTGCACTCCAGCCTGGCGACAGAGTGAGACTCCATCTCAAAAAAAAAAAAAAAAAAAAAAAAAAAAGTGTCAATTCTCCCCAAACTGGTCTGTAAGTTTAATGCAGTTTCTGTCAGAATCCCAGATAGAATCTTTGTAGATAAGCTTATTCTATTATGGAAAGGCACAGGCCCTAAGCAATCTTGTGAAAGAAGAATAAAGTGGAAGGAAGGGACCACTCTACGCAACGTTAAGGCTTACTATATTACTATAGTAATCAAGACAATGTGGTATTGGCAGAGGGATAGATATGTATCAATGGACCAGAACAGATAACCCACAAAAAGACCCACAGAAATATGGCTAGTTGATTTTTGACAAAAATACAACAGCAGTTCCATGGAGGAAGGATAGTCTTTCAACAAATGGTGCTGGAGCCATTTGACATTCATGGTCAAAAAAAAAAAAAAAAAAAAAGAGTCTAATACCTTGGGTAAGTCTCACAGCTTATGCAAACATTAACTCAAAATGGATAAAAGACTTAATGTAAAATACAAAACTATAAAAATTTTGGAAAAAATTATAGCAGACAATTTTTGGGAACTAGATCTAGGCAAAGAATTCTTGGACTTGGCACCGAAAGCACAATCCATAAAAGGTTAAATTGATAAACTAGACCTCGTCAAAATTAAAAACGATTGCAGTGCAAAAGACCCCATGAAGAAGGTGAAAAGTCAAGCTACGGACTTGGAGAAGATATTTACAGATGACATATCAGACAAAGGACTTGTATCTAGAATATATGAAGAATTCTCAAAACTCAACGGTTAAAAAACAAAAAACAAAAAAACCAAGCAATCCAGTAAGAAAATGGGCAAAAGACATGAATAGACATTTCACTGAAGAAATTATACAGATGGCAGATAAATGCATGAAATAATCTTCAACACCGTCAGCCATTGGGGAGGTGCAAACTAAACCATAGTGAAATTTTACTCCACACCTATCATAATGGCTTAAAAAATAGTGATAATGCCAAATGATGGTGAGGATGTGGAGAAAGTGGATCATTTCATATATTGCTGGTAGGAATGTAAAATGGTACAGCCACTCTGGAAAGCAGTGTGTCAGTTTCCTACAATACTAAACATGTGCTCACCATATAGCCACGGACAACTGCACTCTTGGGCTTTTTTTTTTTCCCAGAAAAATGAAAACTCACGTTCACACAAAAACTTTACATGGGTGTTCAAAGCAGGCTTTAATCATAACAGTCCCAAACTGGAAACAACACAAATGCCTCTTAATGCATGTATGGTAAACACACTATGGGATTAATACATCCATAGCATGGAATACTACTCAGCAATAAAAAGAAACAAACTATTGACACATGCAGCAACCAGGATAGATCACAAGGGAATTATTCTGAATGAAAAAATAAAAAGCCATCCCCAAAGGTACATACTCTATGATTCCATTTAGATAACATTCTTGAAATGAAAACGTTATAGAGATTCAGAAGAAATTAATGATTACCAGAGGTTGGGGCGGGGGCGGAGGGAGGTGGCTATGGCTACAAAAGCACCTGGGATCCTCCCGACTGAAATATGTCTTGACTGTGGTAGTGGTTACATGAATCTACGCAGGTGATAAAATCGCAGAGAATTAAATATACACACAGAGAAGAGTGTTAGTAAAACTGGTGAAATCTGAATAAGATCCATGGGTTGTATTCATATCAGTTTCCTGGTTGTGCTTTTGTACTATAGTGATGCAGATGATACCATTGAGGGAAACCCAGTGAAGGCTATATGGAATCGGAGCCTATAGTTATTTCAAAAGTTAAAAAAGTTCAATATCTACTCATGATTAAAAAACAAAAACTAGAGTAAAACTCTTAGCCTTCCTGGATTTTAGGAGAAATTCTTTATTATGATGAAAGGCATTGACAAAAACAAACAAAAAGACAGCAAACTTCATAGTTACTGACGTAACGTTAAAAGTATCTCCTTTAAAATCAGGATCAAGATAGGGTATTCACGGCTGGGCATGGTGGCTCATGCCTGCAATCCCAGCACTTTGGGAGGCTGGGGTGGGCGGATCACTTGAGGTCAGGAGTTTGAGACCAGCCAACATGGTGAAACCCCGTCTCTACTAAAAATTCCAAATTAGCCGGGCATGGTGGCATGTGCCTGTAAGCCCAGTTACTTGGGAGGCTGAGGCAGGAGAATTGCTTGAACTCAGAAGGCAGAGGTTGCAGTGAGCTGAGATCGCACCACTGCATTCCAGCCTGGGCGACAGAGCGAAACTCAGTCTCAAAAAGAAAAAAAAGGGTATTTACATCATCACTGTACCGAGGGGCCTACCAAGCCCAGTAAAACAGAAAGATGAAATGAAACATGTAAGAGTCAAAAAGGAAGTAACAGAACTGTCATTATGAGCAATTGATATCATTGTCTAGGCAGAAAATTTAAGAATCTTTATAGGCTAATGTTTTGCATAGGGGAATTTAATGGGTTGTTTCAGAAAAATCTCTCCTTGTTTCTTCCTTCTGCCAACTTGATTCATAACCAGCTTGCAGGTGTAAGAGTGCCACTAGTCATAAAGCCTCACTAAAAAAAAGAAACTCCTAAAATAGGAAATTAAATGAAACAAAGATCACGACCTCATCCTTTGAAGCCCCTTAGCATCTCCATCAAAAATTTCATCTGCCTCCTTATCTCCCTCTAAGTAAGTGTGGACTAGTATTTAAGACACAAAATGATCTATTTAACTTTATGATTTTTAATATTAATTATTAGATGTGATGATATTCACTGTGTTTTGTTTTTTTTTTTGAGATGGAGTTTCACTCTTGTTGCCAGGCTGGAGTGCAATGGCGTGATCTCGGCTCACCACAATCTCCGCCTCCCAGGTTCAAGCGATTCTCCTGCCTCAGCCTCCCAAGTAGCTGGGATTACAGGCGTGCGTCACCACATCCGGCTAATTTTTTGTATTTTTAGTAGAGATGGGGTTTCTCCATGTTGGTCAGGCTGGTCTCGAACTCCCGACCTCAGGTGATCCGCCTGCCTCGGCCTCCCAAAGTGCTGGGGTTACAGGCGTGAGCCACCGCGCCAGGCCGATATTCACTATGATTTAGAAATTCACTTGTATGCAATTTTATCTGTATGACGGTCATACAAACTATTGTAGATTGATGTGCCTGAGAACTTAGCCTCCATTTATGGCATTGTTTCTTTGGGAAAACACATTTTGAGTGACAAACAGTCCTTTGGAATGCAGCCTATTTGTAGGTCAGAGACCTTGGTGAAGGCAGAAGTTAGAGTCCCAGTCTGTGTCTCTGTCTCTGAGACAGAGAATGTGACCTTATTTGGATACAGTTTTTGCAAATGCAATTCAATTAAGGTTCTCGAGATGAGATCATCCTGGATTATAAGGGTGGGTCTTCAATCCAATGACAATTATCATAGGAGACACAACGAGAAGAGACACAGAAGGTCATGTGAAGATGGAGGCAGAGATTAGAGTGATGCTGCCCAGGTCCAGGAATGCCTGGAGCCACCAGAAGCCAGAAGAGGCAAGGAAGTGCAGCCTCCCCTAGTAGCTTTGAAGGGGCTGTGGCCCTGCCAACATCCTGATTGCAGACTTCTGATCTCCAGAATTGTGAGAGAATGAATTTCTGTGGATTCAAGTCAGCACATTTGTGGTAATTTGTTTCTGCAGACCTGGGAAACGAAGACAGTGTATTCTGTGAGCTCCTCACGTAGGAAAAGTGAGTGCTGCCAACTTCCACAGCCTTGATTCTGTTACCAGAGCCTTGATAGACGGACGTGTGCCAGGTATTGAGCTAAGAGTTGCACATGTCTTCTCAATTGATCTGGATAGCAAACCTGTGTTCCACTTGGAAATACAGTAACTGGGGTTTTGAGAGATTCTACACTTGCATGCACAAAGACATATAAGCAATCATAGCTGGGCACAGTGGCTCACGCCTGTAATCCCAGCACTTCGGGAGGCTGAGGTGAGTGGATCACCGGAGGTCAGGAGTTCAAGACCAGCCTGGCCAACATTCTAAAAATACAAAAAGTAGCCAGGTGTGGTGACGGGCACCTGTAATCCCAGCTATTCAGGAAGCTGAGGCAGGACAATCGCTTGAACCCAGGAGGCAGAGGTTGCAGTGAGCCGAGATTGTACCACTGCACTCCAGCCTGGGCAACAGAGCGAGACTCCGTCTCAAAAAAAAAAAAAAAAAAGACACACAGGTAATCATACTAACTACTACGGCTCACTGAATGTCTACTGTGGGCCAGATGTTGTGCTAAACTCTTTTAAAGTATGCTTATCTAAGTCTGCAGCAACTGTCTGAGGTAGTGCTATTCATTCATTCCTGGCACAGATATTTATACGTGCCTGCTGTATGCTGGCCCTGTCCTGGATGCTGGGCCACAGCAGTGAACCAGATGGAGGGTAAGCCCTCCCTCATGGCACTTGCATTTTTGTATGCTGAAATGTTCAATAAACAAACAAATGAATCAAAATTATGTCTGGTGGCATTAAGAGCTATTGAGAAAAACAAATCAGGGAAGGAAGAAAGATAAAATGTAGGAGTCATGGCTTGAAGACCGAGAGTGGTGAGAACTGTCTCTATTTCACAGACGAAGAGTCTGAGACTCTGAGAGGTGAAGTGACTTTCCCAAAGTGACACAGATGTAACAGCTATAAAGAATGATCTGACAACTGTTGAATGTGGGAGGTGCTTTAAAGTCATTATTCCCAACCATTACTGTAACTCTGCCAAGTGAATGATATATGCATATTATATATATTTTATACTTACATATATTTCAGCTTCACTGACGTATAATTGACGAATAACAATTTTATATATTCTAAAGTGTACAATGTGATGATTTGATAGATATTGTAAAATGATTACAATCAAATTAGCATATTTATCACCTCACGTAGTTACCATATATACATTTCATCAAATAGGTTATAAATATAGGCGAGGACCCTGCGGCTCAGAAAGGTGAAGTGACCTGGCCAAACCCAGGTGACTTGCCCAAACCCAGGTTTCCATGCACATGCCCCTTCTACCACCATAAACCAATGCCTGCCGGCTGCCGCCTCATGGCAAAAACCTGACCCGAGGATGAGCCGGGTGCTGTAGGTTCCCAGGTGGTCAATTTCTATGACAGAGCCTGTCAGTTGCAACTGTAGAAATATCAGAAGGCTCCCTCTCTCCTATCCAAAGAGATTGATAGTTAAGGCTCAGCTGGAAGCACAGAGATAACCTATTTCCTTTTCTCTATAAATCCTCCCAGTCTTACTAATTTTTATTGATTGTTAGGGTGTAAGGGTTGGGAGTAGATGGGGGTTATATTTTTATCCTTTTTATTCCCTAAGCAATCAGTTACTATCACAAACAATTTCTTGATTACATTTGATGCTAGTATTTGATTTTGAACCTATTTTTAAAAATGTTCTGTTGATGGTAATTTATTTGTTCAATATTTTGTCTGTGCCTCAAACTGTGAGAATGTGCCATCTAGTGGCTTAATGCTGACATTACTTTTTCCTTGTAATTCAATGTTTGGTAGCGGAATTTCAGAATGTTTCTCTTTATTTAGAAACAATATTGTCAATCGGAGTTGTACAAAGAAGTAAACCTTTGATATTAAAAAATACAGTTTTGAACAGGAATTCTACATGCACAGGAAACTAGGTTGTAGAATTAACAATTGAAGAATAAATTTCCAGGTGTTATTGAGCCTCTACTGATGAAATTGCCCATGCTTTTCTGAAAATATTTACATAATGTGTGAGATTAAATGGAACAGAGAGATTAAATGGAAGAGTGAGATTAAATGGAACAGAGAGGAAGGTTGTCTTCATGTGCTGGTGGTCACAGGTCTTCGTGTGATACAGTGGGTTCCAGAGCTAGACCACCTGGACTTGGCCTTGGGCAGGTTATTAAAATCTCCGTGCCTCAGTTTCCTCATTTGTCACGGAAGTCTTGTGAGGATAAAGTGAGACAACAGAAGCAAAGTGTTCATTTTAGCACAAAGCCTGACACACCTCAAATGCCAGTATAGGTTTCCTCTTAGGATTCTGTCCCCATATAGTGCCTACTGTTTTCTCTGTCTATTGTCTCTGATGCTAATTCTATGTTCTATAGTGACGTCAACTATGAGGCCTCGGCTCTTGAAGGGCCCCGTGGAGGTGCTGGGCCTGGGTGCTGTCCGCTGGCTCACGTAGGCAGGTCTATTGCTCCACTGAAGGTGCTCCTGGCATCTAGAATATTGGGAGTCAGAATACTGGGAGTACGTCGTAGCATCTGATATAGCCAGAGCCTGTGATGGGTTACAGCCTCCAAGGTAGATATGTTGAACTCTGACCAACATTTCTGTGTCACATTCTGTCATATTGGGCCTAAGTGGTGCTACTTTATGTTTCTACTGTCTTGCTAATGAGCTACCAGAACCTGGAAAAGGCAAGGAGGATCTTCCCCAAGAAGCTTTGAAAGGAGCATGGCTCTGCCAACACCTTGATTTCAGACCTCTGGCCTCCTGAACTCTGAGAGAACAAATTTCTGTTGTTTTAAGCCACCCAGTTTGTGCTAATTTGTTACGACAGTGCTAGGAAATTGATACAGGAGGTTACTAGGGTTAAACAAATTACTTTGTAGAGGGTCCTTAAAACTGTTCTTTGCACAAATTAGAAACAGGCATATGTCAGCTGTTACTTCTTTGGGGGCAATGTAGCATAGCGGGTAACTGCATGGGCAGTTGTCACTGACAGACCAGGCTCTGCTGGAGCCTGCGGAGACCTGGCTCTGTAACTTACCAGTTGTGTGACTTTGGGGGAAGTTCTGCAACTTCTGAAGGTCACGGTTTCCTTAAGAATAAAACAGGGTAATAATAGTTGCTGTCTCCTAGGTTAATTGTAAAGATAGAGATAAAAAATGCAAGCACTTCACACACACTTGGCATTAGAATGTGAGCCCCTGATGTGGTTGGGTCAAGCACGTGCAACTGGCCTGTCCCCTTTCAGGATGGCTCACTCCCTGAGGCCACCTGGGTTCCTTATGTAATAAGGCCCTCTAGCTCCCATCCTATGGGTCCTCAAAACAAGCATGAATCCTGGGTGAGCACAGTTCAGACCAAAACCAGGAACCTCATGGTATTGTTATAGGAGTTATTAAGAAATTATTTTAGGCGGTTAGAGAGGAAAAGGGGTCCTTGGAAAATTTCTGTCTTTTTTTTTTTTTTTTTTTTTTTTTGAGACGGAGTCTAGCACTGTCCCCTGGGCTAGAATGCAATCTCAGCTCACTGCAACCTCCTCCGCCTCCTGGGTTCAAGCGATTCTCCTGCCTCAGCCTCCCGAGTAGCTGGAATTACAGGCCCCTGCCAGTAAACATGGGGTTTCACTGTGTTAGCCAGGATGGTCTCGATCTCCTGATCTCATGATCCGCCTGCCTCGGCCTCCCAAAGTGCTGGAATTACAGGCATGAGCCACCGCGTCTGTCTCTTTTAAAGTAGCTCCAGAAAAGTTTCTTGTCTAGCAGGAAAGCCCCGGCTCTTAGAGCCTGGCTAGCAACCTTTGATATGCAAATGCAAGCCATTAGAAACTGGGTCCATCCTAACATGGGGATTCCCCCCTTGTCCTCTTTCCCTGCCCCTCCATATGTGTCTGGCAGCATGGCCGCCCCCACATATCCCCACGTGTGTAGAACATCATGGCACCCTGCATTTGCATATTAAAAGATTAGGGTGAGAAGGCCGGTTTTTTTGCGGCCACGTGAATGACATGCCTGGTCAAACCAATCCTCTGAGTCCTGTGCAAATCAGACACCGCCTCCAGCCTCCTCACAGAACTGGTTGGTATCCGCGGCACTCAAGATAGTGTTTCCTATCTTGGCTTTGGAGCCCCCTCCCTCTGTCTGTGTAGGGGGAGCTGCTTCTTTCTTCTCTCTTCTGTCTTGCCTGTTAAACTCTCCATTCCTTAAAACCACTCCACGTGTGTCTGTGTCGTTTTATCTAAACCGGTGCAAGGACCAAGAACCCTGGTGTTCCTCCACTTATCTGAGCCGTGTCAGTGTAAACAAAGTGCATTTGCGTTTAAGAATTATAGGTCATTAAAAAGTTTCAGGTGTTACCATCCACATTGCAGATTGCTCCGGGAAATGCTTTGCTGGGAGCCGGGCGGGGGAACTGAGTTGTAGCCCCAGCTCCGCAACTAACCTGCTGCCTGGCATCAGGGCTCACTCATGTCACCTGTGAAATGATGCCGTTGGACAAGATCCCCTCTGAGATCTCTTTACACTCGAATATCCCCAGCTCTAGGAGGACGCAAAGGTTCCAGCTTTCAAGCCAGGACTCTAAAGTTGGTGCTGAAGGCAATCTCGGCTGCCTTCAAATCTTTTCTGTGTCCAAACTCCAGGTAGCAGCTGGCAACAAACTTGCTAATTATCTACCTGTGTATTTAACGATGCTTGTTGAGTTGCAGCCTTGAGGTTGCTCCAAGTAGCAGACCAGGCAAGTCCACGAAGGAATGATTCTGTTGTGAACAAGAACAAGATCTCTTTGAATGTCGTCCCCAGTGGCTCGCCTGGAGGCAGGTGAGAACCAGGTGCCCTCTGGGTTTCAAGAAATAAAACGTGAGTTGAACACATGGAGGAGGCATTGTAGGGGGTGGCTCAAGCATCAGCCCCCATGCTCTGGGGTGTAGTAGAATGAGTTAAAATATTTGTCGGGGGCTTTTAGTGCTGGCTCTGCTCCTGTGCTAGTTTGGGAAGTAACTTATCTTTGAGCCTCAGCTCCTCATGTGTTTAATGGAACTCAAATGCCCTCCTATATTGGGTAGGATTATTTTGGCTTCATGAAACAGAAAAACTGACTCAAACTGGTTAACAAAGAAACGTAGTCTGTCCTGTAGGCGAGATTTCATATAGCAGTGACCTCACATCCAACCATGACAGTCTCCACAGTTGTCTTTCATTGCATCTTTCTTAGGATCCAGGTATCCTAAGAGGTACCCTAAGAGGTATCCGAGTGGTATAAGGAATCTTTTTCAGCAGAGTTTTCCTGGAGGAGAAGGGATTTGAGTAATCAGCATTCACTTCTGGGCAGGGAGTGGAGTCTGTGTCCACTGCTGCTCTCAGCTGTGTAGAGTTGTGGACAAATGGCCAGAAATCCGGGGAGAAGGCGGACTGATGTGGGATGGGCTGCCTGACAGTGTGGAGCTGAGAATTAGATGATGGATGTGAACAATTTTCCCTGTGAATTTTAAAGCATCGGGTATTTCTTTTTCATGACAGGAGTTTGGATTAGATTATATCTAATGTTCCTTCTAACTCTGTATTTTTATGAATTTTCAAATAAGAGCCATTTTCACTGGTCTGATGATTTTTATAGCTGGTTCAGGAATGCTGTTGGATAACAGAATGCTGGCTAGTCACTTGCTTGGGGCACCAATACAGCAGCAGTAAAAATAACAATAACGAAAACCACCATTACCACCATCAAAAAACCCATTCACAACCCAGATGAGAAACTTCTAGGGGAAAGCCTTTAAAACAATTTTGGCATTCCTGTGTGCTGTGTGTCATTTTGCAAAACAATATTTTTTTGTGGCTTAGTCTTATTTTTATTTTAAATCCATATAGGGGTATCATGATGTTTTCATGCTCAGGGGTGTTGATCCATACCTTTTCAAAACTGGAAAATGTTACAGCTATTTATCAATGAAATGAGAGGTTTTTAAAATTTACTTTTTCTATATAATAATCATGTAATTTTTGGCCAGGCACTGTGGCTCATGCCTGTAATCCCAGCACTTTGGGAGGCTGAGGCGGGTGGATCACCTGAGGTCAGGAGTTCAAGACCAGCCTAGCCAATGTGGTGAAACCCCGTCTCTACTAAAAATAGAAAACTTAGTTGAGTATGGTGGTGGGTGCCTGTTATCCCAGCTACTCAGGAAGCTGAGGCGGGAGAGTCGCTTGAACCCAGTAGGTGGAGGTTGCAGTAAGCCAAGATTGCACCACTGCACTCCAGCCTGTGCGACAGAGCGAGACTCCGTCTCAAAATAATAATAATAATAATAATCACATAATTTTTTCTACATTTTGAAATGTGAGGATAAAAAATTGTAACTCTGAAAGGGGAACTGTCTTCTACCAGGCAGTAATGTCATTAGTAGAGAGGCAGATAGCCTTGCCTTTGGTCCTAATATTCCTATTAATGATTTCGATATAGATGCAGAAGAAATGACTGTCAAGTGTGGGCTTATGAGACAAAAGTGGGAAGACAGACCTAATATATAGAAGAAAGTCTTAATCCAAATGATTTCAATAGGCTATCATGCTGAACTGAAACCAATAAAGTGAATTTCAGTAGAAATAAATAGTTTAGCACTTAAATTTTACTTAATAAAGGAAAGAGAAAAAAAAATCGGGTATTTTAGCTTATCTCAGGTCCACCCTGAGTTAGCAGCTGGAGAAGGCCGCACCAGTCACAGTCAGCATTAATCAGAGTGGAGAGTCCAGATTCTGTATTTGGTACCACTCAGGTAACACCTGGCTGCTGTATTTTAAGAAGGGCAAACTGAAGTAATTAAGTAATAAAATAGTTATGATTGTCCCCAACATAAGCAAACTAATCTACTAAGTCCTCAATATATGTTATCTCTGATTTTCAGAGAGTCCTGGAAAAATAGACACTATTGTTCACATTTTACAGAAAAGGAAAATTAACCAGAGAGATCATCACACACTCTCTTCCTACCCTCCCAACTCCTTGACCAAGGTAGGAAGTTTAGTTCAAGCTTATGTGCTATTTTTATTAAGCTTGGGATGTCACCTGAAGGGCATAGGGCTTGGAACAAATTCTTTCATCATACTGTAGGGCAGCGGTCCCCCATCTTTTTGGCTGGCACCAGGGACCAGTTTCATGGAAGACAGTTTTCTCACAGACAAGGGAGTGGGGGTTGGTTTTGGCATGAAATTGCTCCACCTCAGATCATCAGGCATTAGTTAGATTCTCATAAGGAGCATGCACAGTTCCCTCGAATGCACAGTTCACAATAGGGTTTGTACTCCTATGAGAACCTAATGCTGTCGCTGATCTGAGAGGAGGCGGAGCTCAGGTGGTAATGCTCTCTTGTACCCCATTCACCTCCTGCTATGCAGCCCAGTTTCTAACAGACCATGGTCCTGGGGATTGGGAACCCCTGGTGTAGGGGATCAGAATATGTCACCCCAAAATATACCACTCTGGCCTAAGGATTGTTTTGAGCTGAAGACAATTGTGGAAGAGCAGATGCCAAAAAAAGCATTCTCTGCCTCCCCCTGCCTGGTAAAAGTAGGCTTAGACTTATTTGCTTCAAGACAGCGCGAAGGAATCTATACAACAAACATTCCTAAAATAACCTGCATCTTCTGTTAGCTTCCTCTGTACATTTACCTTCCCATAGTGTGCGGTCCCTAAAAGCCTAAACCCCTTAGTGTTGTCATTTCTCTACAAATTTACTGTTCTTTGTTAAGATGCTATAGAACCTTAAGTTCTAATCATCCCTTCCAGTTATTGGTCACTACCTTTCTCCTGCATGGATACATGCTGTGTATATGAATACACTGTACTTCCTTCTGGTTAGTCTATCTTTTGCCAGTTTAATTTCAAGAGCCCCAGCTGGAGAACCTAGAAGTACAGAGAAAAAAGTTTTCCTCCTCTACAATGTGTTTACTGGAAGGGTGAAATGTACAACACCTGAATCAGCAAGAGATGAGAAGGCCTGGTCCCCACCCTCCGTCATTCCACGGAGAGGAATGGTGGGAGGCGGGGGCCTCCCCACCCTCCCCTGGTCCACAGAGGAGAATTGCGGGGCACAGGCACTCTGCAGGACATGCAGCGTGGGAATCTCTGTTCCAGGGGAGCACATACCTCCTTACTGCCTTCTCCCCACTTAAAGGCAAGCAAAGGGGAATGCTGACAGTAGGAGAATAGTAGATCTAATTTGGATTGAGATTCTACAAACCTGGAAATGTGGTTAGTGTACTCTCACAGTAATTCACCTGACATATGGTTTGTCTTATCTGTTTTGTGTT
Source organism: Homo sapiens (assembly GCF_000001405.40). NCBI lineage: Eukaryota > Metazoa > Chordata > Mammalia > Primates > Hominidae > Homo > Homo sapiens. The sequence goes on along the minus strand of NC_000007.14, from coordinate 148,497,534 downwards.
GTTATAAAGGAATATCTGAGGCTGGGTAATTTATAAAGAAAAAGGTGTCTTTGGCTCATGGTTCTCATGTCTGGGAAAGTTCAAGGCTGGGCCTCTGCATCTGGTAAGGGCAGAAGCTGCCTTCATTTCATGGAAGAAGGTGAAGGGGAGCTGGTGTGTGCAGATCACACGGCAAGACAGGAAGCAAGAGAGAGAGACAGAGGGGAGGTAACAGGCTCCTTTTAGCCATCAGCTCTCATGGGAATTGACAGAACGAGAATTCACTCACCCCCACCCACCTCCTGGAGGGGATTAATCTATTCATGAGGGATCCACCCCCATGACCCAAACACCTCCCATTAGGCCTCACCTCCAACACTGGAGATCAGACTCCAACATTAGATTTGGAAGGGACAAGCATCCAAGCTGTAGCATGGTTCCAGGTTGGAAATCATTTTCCCTTCAACATTCGAAGGCAGTGCACTCAGTGTTGCTGTTGAGAAATCTGAAGCCGTGCAGATTCCCATCTCCGGGTGAGTATGTGCCCTATTTTTCTCCCTATCTGGAAACTTGAAGGACCTATTCTTTGGCCTTGCTGTTCTGAAACATGACGTACCTCTATGTGGATCACTTTCATGTATTTTGCAGGCCATGAGATGGACTTATATATCTGGAAATTCAGGTCTCTAACTTTTGGAAAAATTTCTTTCCAACTCCCTGGCTGGAAGAGTATGAGCCTGGCTGGCTAACCTTCTGGGAGCTGAGTCAGGGAAGAAATCTGGGGGTGGGGAGGGTTTGCAATGCAGGAATCAAGCTTCATATTCAGTAGGTAAACTTTTACTTACTCTGCCTGTGTTTTCAAGAGGTACCTGGTGCCATCAATTCCTGAGCCTTTACGGGATTCTCCAGTGCCATGTGGGCTGCTTCTCGGCCCTTCCTGCTGCTTTTCAGCCTCCAGAATGATCTCAACTCCAGTTCTCTGTTTCTCTGTCTCTTAAAATCTTAGTCAGGTTGTGGGAGGGATTAGAGGTAAATGGCATGTGTTCAGTTCCATCCATCCATCCATCCATTTATTTATTTATTTATTTGGCAGAATCTCGCTCTGTTGCCCAGGCTGGAGTGCAATGGCACGATCTTGGCTCACTGCAACCTCTGCCTCCAGCAATTCTCCCTGCCTCAGCCTCCCGAGTAGCTGGGATTACAGGCGCATGCCACCACACCCAGCTTATTTTTGTATTTTTAGTAGAGACGGGGTTTCGCCATGTTGGCCAAGCTGGTCTTGAACTCCTAAAGTCAGGTGATCCACCCACCTCGGCCTCCCGAAGTGCTGGGATTACAAGGATGAGCCACTGCGCCCAGCCAGTTCTTCATATTTAATGGTATATCTTTCTTTTTACATGCACTAACTCATGAATCTTCCCAACTATCCTGTGGGGTAAGGACCATTATCCCACTTTTACAGATGAAGAAACTGAGGCAGAGAAATGCCAAGTGACTTGCCCAGACAAACACAGCTAGGAAGTGGCAGACCCAGAATAGGAACCCAGGGATCTGACGCCAGGAACCAGACTCTTAGTCACGATGCTATTCCCCCCACTGACAACTTAACACATTATAGTACAGGGATAAGAAAGGTAGAAACTGACAAAACAGAGAGAATGGGAGGGAAGCAATGTGATGGGAGGTTTCATCAGTTTTCTTGGAAATGCACAGTGAGAGGGAGAGTGTTGACCAGTGGAATGGGGAGTGGCACCTTAGAATACTGGAGTATGGGTGAGCCATAGAGGGGGTGATCAGCTTGGTGGAAGTTAGTGCAGGCTCCTGACTTGAATATTGAAATATTTAAGGGTGGGAGCAGGAAGCAGGGCTGATAACGGAGAGTCCAGGCTATGCGCTCAGTTCTTGGGAGGTGAAAAAAATCATGCTCTTTTTTTATGTTCTACTGTGCCAGTAAAATGGCAAGTATTTCACCTTCTTACTGTAGAGCGATCATTGTCCAGCATTTGTGTGCTTCAGAATTACCAGGAGCGTTGTTAAAATAGATTGCCGAGCTCCACCTGCCAGAAGTTTTAGGGGATTCAGGACATCTGGAGTGGGACCTGAGTATTTGGATTTCTTTTTTTTTTTTTTTTTTTTTGAGATGGAGTTTCATGTTGTCACCCAGGCTGGGGTGCGGTGGTGCGATTTCAGCTCACTGCAACCTTGGCCTCCTGGGTTCAAGTGATTCTCCTGCCTCAGCCTCCCTAGTAGCTGGGATTATAGGTACATGCCACCACACCTGGCTAAGTTTTGTATTTTTAGTAGAGATGGGGTTTCATTGTGTTGGCCAGGCTGGTCTCGAACTCCGGACCTTGTGATCCACTTGCCTCAGCCTCCCAAAGTGCTGGGATTACAAGCGTGAGCCACCGCTCCTGGCCTGGATTTCTAAGTAATTCTCAAGTAGGATGATGAGATGATGGTTTCCAACCAGGGGGTGATTTTAGCCCTAAGTAGACATTTGGCAATATCTAGAGACATTTTTGATAGTCACCACAAGAAGGGCAAGGCTGTTGGCATCCAGTGGGTTGAGGCCAGGGATGCTATTAGGTCAGCCCCATAACAAAGACTTGGGCCTAAGCATCAGTAGTGTCAAGGTTGAGAAGCCCTAATCTGGAGTAAAGCCTACTTGTCAACAGTGCTAACAGGCCGTACCTTTGACAAGAAACTCCCAGTTACCTTTTCTATTACCTCATTAAAAAAAGTATGGCCAGGCTGGGCATAGTAGCTCACACCTGTAATCCCAGCACTTTGGGAGGTCGAGGCAGTGGGTCCCTTGAGCCCAGAAGTTTGAGGTCAGCATGGGCAACATGGCGAGATCCTATCTTTACAAAAAATACAAAAATTAGCCAGGTGTGGTGGGGTGCACCTGTAGTCCGAGCTACTTGCGGGGCTGAGATGGGAGGATCACCTGATGGCAGGTAGATTGAGGTTGCTGTGAGCCATGAGCACACCACTGCATTCCAGCCTGGGCAATAGAGTGAGATCCTGTCTCAAATAAGTAAGTAAATAAATAAATATTACAAATACGGTCATACAGTTGAGGAAAGAATATGATACGGAAAAGAAATATCTGTTGCTATGGTTTGGATGTGGTTTGTCTCCACTAAAACTCATGTGGAAGTTTAATTGCCAGCTGGCAGTGTTGGGAGGTGGGGCCCAATGGGAGGTGTTTGGGTCATGGGGACAGATCCCTAATTAATAGAAAAATGGTGTCTCTCATGGGAGTGAGTTCTCCCAGGAATGATCTGGTTCCCACGAGTTCCTTGCTTGTGTTCACTTCCCCTTTGGCCTTCTCTGCCGTGTTTTGATGTAGCACGTGGCCCTCACCAGAAGTTGAGTAGATACTAGGGCCATTCCCCTTGAACTTCTCAGGCTGCAGAATGATGTGCTAAATAAACCTCTTTATAAATTACTCGGTGTCAGGTTTTCTGTTATAGCAAAACAAAACAGACTAAGACACCTATATTTACTGATTAAAAAACCCTTGGAGGAGGCCGGGTGTGGTGGCTCATGCCTATAATCCCAGCACTTTGGGAGGCCAAGGCAGGCAGATCATTTGAGGTCAGGAGTTTGAGATCAGCCTGACCAACATGGTGAAACCCTGCCTCTACTAAAAATACAAAAAATTAGCCACGTGTGGTCATGCATGCCTGTAATCTCAGCTACTTAGGAGGCTGAGGCAGGGGAGTCTCTTGAACCTGGGAGGCAGAGGTTGCAGTGAGCCAAGATTGTGCCACTGCACTCCAGCCTGGGTGACACAGGGATATTCCATCTCAAACAAACAAACAAACAACAACAACAACAAAAAACAAAACAAAAAAACTTTGGAGGAATCAGACATAATACAGGTAACCAAAGAGAATTAAAAGCATGTACAAAAAGACATACCACAGTAAAAAATAACTTTCGTTGTTATCTTCAGAGAAATTTGAGAAGATATTTGTCTGTGTGTAAAATGTCAAAAAAAAAAAAAAAAAAAGAACAATTAGAGAATGGAAGATCTTCTGGAAGTGAAAAATATAACTGCCAATTTTGAAATTCAATGGTAAGGGTGGATTGGATTTTCTGTTTGTCCCTCCAGATCTATTCTGTTCTTTTCTACCTTACTGTGTGCCTGGGAGACTGACTTGTACAAATTGTATTATCTGGGCTTTGTTGCTTCTGACTTCTGGTTGAGTTTGGCCAAAGAAACGCCAGTTGATTAGAGGGCAAGAAAGCATGATCAATCTTTATTATTCTTGGATTCCACATATGTGAATTCACCTATTCACTAATTTATTCATCACCCCAAAGTCAGTGCTTATGGACTTCTTTTGTCATTTACAGACAGGCACAGAGTGGCAAAAAATTTGAGTTGCTGGATACACACTTCCCAGCTGAGGTGGAACCAGGCAATGCTCTCCCTTCTTGTTTAAGCTCGCACAGTATAAACAGGTGTCCTTTTCTCAGTCTATTTAGTGCCATACTTTTACATTTAGTGGATTTTTTTTTTTTTTTTTTTTTGGTGATTTCAGTGTTTAAAATGCCCCAAGTGTCTACTGTTCCTAAGTGTGAGAAAGCTGTGATGTGGTGCCTTATGGAAAAAAACACAGATTAGATAACCTTTGTTCAGACATGTATGATAAGGGCTATTAGCCATGAGTTTAATGTTAATGGATCCACAACATACATTAAATATGATGTCTTTAAACAGAAACACACATAAAACAAGGTTATGAATTAAATATTGGCAATAATGTGACCAGAAGCTTACAGGAACCTAACCCCGTAATTCTCCTAGGAACAGTATTTGCTGATTCAGTGCTTGTGGTGACTTGATAGAACATAGCTACCATGAATAATGAGAATCTTCAGTACTCTGCTGAGTGTGGTTTTGGCAATGGCTGGTTTTCTCTGCTGTGGCCACAATTCCTGCCAGATGGTCCTTCATTCATGGCTGCAGCTCATTTTCCAATAACTTTGCTTTTTTTCCAGACCCTTTCAGGTTTAGGGGTGATAATGGCTTTGCACTGTTGCTAATCTATGAGAACTTCACCATTCTTTGTTGGTTCTTTAGCACTGACCGTAACTCTACAAATAGTTGCCTTATTAAATTTTCCTCACTTACCTTTTGCATGTGCCATCTGTTTCCTTCCAGGATCTTGATGACTCAGTTGGTAGAAAATGTACTCAAGCTAGTCTCTCATAATAAAGAACAAAATGTAATGAGATTTTTTTAAAGTATGAGGAAAGAAAAGTTATGTAACATGAGTCTAGGAGCTAGAATCCTGACTAACAAGAATTCTAGATAGAGAGAAGAGGCTGGAAAATATCACTGATATAATACAAGAACATTTCCCGGAACTAAAGGAGAACATAAATATTCAAAGTGAAAGATCTATACAGAATAAATTTTAAAAGCCCTCATTTAGATATTCAGGGAATTAAGTATAAAGATAAGAAATCAAAGACTTCAGGGAGGAAACAAAAAGATTACCTACCAATGAACAGGAATCATACTGACATATGATATCTCATCAACAGCCATTGATGCTATAAGAAAATGGAAAAATGCCATCAAATTTCTGAAGAGAATTGATTTCAATTCTATACCAATCTAAATCATCAAATGTAAAATAAGAATAACAATCTTCTTATATAATTAAAAACTCAAAATATTGACTTTACAGGCACAAAGCACCTTTTCTTTGGGAGTTACTTGCAGATGTAATTCAGCAAAATGAGAAAGTAAAACAATAAATACTAACATGAGTTTTAGGAAATAGTACATTCAATCTAGAAGAAAAGTTCCCAGATAACAACTACATAGAAGGCCTCCAGAGCAACTAGTCCACGTAAGGAGAGGAGCATGGAGACCATCAGAGAATGATCTAGAAAAAACAAGAGAGGGGAATTTGATAGAAAATTGTATGATCAATGGCTTGGAAAAGTCTGAGAATAAGACCAAGCCATAGAATGAAGGAAAAATTCCAGGAAACAACAACAACAAATTATACAAGAAAGGCACAAGTCAAAAAGAAAACCAAACTGTGGCACAATGATTTTGAATAATTGGAGTAAACTGTTAAAATAGTCGAGCAGTCCTTAAGCGGCAGCATCCACTGAAACTACTAAGTTGCTTGATTCGCCATACTGTAGAGCTTCAGCCAGTAAGGAGAAATGAGCCCAGGGGACTTGGATTATTACTCACAGTACAGCAGGCTCCGTGGACTCCATGTTTGCCTTGCTCCCCTTTGCCCCCAGGTCTCATGGGGACAGTGTGGAGCAGGCTTAGGTGGATGTTGCACATACAGTGGGTTCGTGCACAGCTGAGTAACATGCAGATGGGAGATCTTGATCTTCTACAGGTATAGCCATCAAAGCTGCCTCTTCTCCTTCCAAGTAGAGATGTTGGCTTCATTACCCAGGAATATCTCAGGGGAGGAAAAGGAGGGCTGTCCAGCTGTATTACCCTAGAACGTGTCTGGGAGAGGTTGCTTTAAATTGAAGGGAGGAAATCACTGTTATTATAAACAAATCTGCCCTCTGTCCCAGAGGGGAGATACTACCTCTAGGTTCCAAGGTTGTCTGTTATCCAAACATCTTTGAACAAAGCTGTTGGTGTCCTTTGCTCAGAAGATGTTTCTGGTGCAGAAGGATCAGCAATTATCTCCCAACATATACAAAGAGAGAATGCATTTGGACGTGTTGCTGGTGCAGTCTCTTTTGTGTAGCATAGGGGAGAAGGAAGCGTGATCATAGCACACTACTTGATTTTATAGTGATAATATTTACATAGCTGCCATCACATAAGTGGCATTTATTGGTTTTCAATTTTAGAATCAATCTAGAGACAACTCATGAAATTCTCAGAAGTATTTCATATAAAGACCATAAGTGTTGGCCGGGTGCAGTGGCTCACTCCTGTAATTCCAGCACTTTGGGAGGCTGAGGCGGGCAGATCACCTGAAGTCAGGAGTTCCAGATCAGCCTGGCCAATGTGGTGAAACCCCGTCTCTAGTAAAAATACAAAAATTAGCTGGCTGTGGTGGCGGGTGCCTTAATCTTAGCTACTTAGGAGGCTGAGGCAGGAGAATCGCTTGAACCCTGGAGGCAGATGTTGCAGTGAGCCGAGATCACACCACTGCACTCCAGCCTGGGTGACAGAGTAAGACTCCATCTCAAAAAAACAAACAAACAAACAAAAAACCCCGTAAGTGTTGATAATATAAAAGGAAAAGCAGAGGCACAGAGACTGGGAGGTTGGGGGATGGAGTGGAGGGGCTGACACCCCCAAAGGTGGGAGCACCATCACTTCGTTTCGTTTCACCAGGTCTTTGATAGGAATGGAAGCTGACACTTGCTGAATGGGACCATGGGTCAACATCGTGCTGAGTGCTCTCCATGTGGCACCTTTTGACCCACAAACTTATTCACAACAAGCAGGCATTAGTATTAACTCCACCTTATAGGGGGAATACCAATGTACCCAGAGATTAAGTATATTGCTCAAGGTCACACGGATGGAGAAACGGTGGGTTTACTGTGATATTTGACACTTCAGAGGTGACTATGGGAAGAAATGAGATTAGAGGCAGCTGAGTCTGGGTGAGTAGGACACCACGGGAAAGGTGAGTGGTGGAGCTGGAGAGTGCAGGAACAGGAGGCCGGGCACAGGGAGTGAGCTGCCTAAGGTGGCTGGGCAGAGGGCTTCGTGAAAAAGGAAGGCATTCCGAAAGGTGTGGGCTGTGGAGTGTTGTGAGAGGAAGGATAGATAAGACTTTACCATTTCACCTGAAGCTACTTTCCTGATCCCCACCTTCCAGATGGATTGGAAGTGAATGACAGAGACAGAGACAGAGACAGAGGTGTACATCTATAAATAAATACCCCCGGCTTCCAACACATAACATACCCAAAGCATACAGACTGTGTTTCTACTTTTGGAAGAGTGGTGTCCACATTTTCCAGCCACATATTCTTTAGATTTGTAATCTATTTCATCACCTGCCTTTCTGCTTTTATTCCTGTGTTTTACTCCTCAGTCATCAGTTTATATTTACATTATTTGCTTATATTTACATGATTATGTTAACGTGTTTTCACTTCTACCTTTGAAAAACCCAGTCCTAGTTCTTTGTTTTTCTACTTTTAATGATGTTTAATGATGCAAAATATGTAGATTACATTTTAAATCATATATGAAAAAGGAGGAAAAAAATGGAACACTACAATTTCACATATATTTTTTTTTATAAAAAGGGGAAAAGATTGGCCAAGTATGGTGGCTCACACTTGTAATCCCAGGACTTTTGGAGGCAGAGGTGGGCAGATTGCTTGAGCCCAGTTTGAGACCAGCTTGGGCAATATAGTGAGACTCCGTCTCTATAATAAATACAAAAATTAGTGGGGTGTGGTGGCATGGGCCTGTAGTCTCAGCTACTTGAGAGGTTGAGGTTGAGGGGATGGCTTGAGCCTGGGAGGTCAAGACTGCAGTGAGCTAAGATCATGCCACTGTACTCCAGCCTGGGCAACAGAGAGAGACCCTGTCTGGAAAAATATATATGTAATAATAAAAAGGGGAAAAGAGGAAAATTTGCTCACTGTTTTAAGTAAACTGATAAGTGTTTTCTTAACAGTTATGAGCATCTTTCAAAAGAAACACAGTAAATCCCGTAACTACAACATCTTTATCTTTTAAAACTCCCCCTGAAGCAGCCGGGCACGGTGGCTCACGCCTGTAATCCCAGCACTTTGGGAGGCTGAGACAGGTGGATCACAAGGTCAGGAAATCGAGACCATCCTGGCTAACATGGTGAAACCCCGTCTCTACTAGAAATAGAAAAATTAGCCAGGTGTGATGGCAGGCACCTGTAGTCCCAGCTACTTAGGAGGCTGAGGCAGGAGAATGGCGTGAACCCAGGAGGCGGAGCTTGCAGTGAGCCGAGATCGTGCCACTGCACTCCAGCCTGGACAACAGAGCCAGACTCCATCTCAAAAAACAACAACAACAAAAAAACAACAAAATTCCCCCTGAAGCAAAACAGAATTATTTAACCATGTATGCATGTATTTGCCCTTGACTGCAGTGTTGCTGAGTGTTTGAATCCTGTAGAAGAGAGGAACGTGGCCCTGTGTCCCACTTTATCCTGTGTCCAGGATGAAACCGACCCTGAAGGACATTTCCTCTTGTTTTTTCTCTTTATCCACACTGAGGGCCCAACAGCAAAAAGATGGATGCACTCACATTGCAGTGAGACCCACTGCTGATTTGGACACCTGCAGCTCTTTCTGGAGCTTAGTGAGATTCCTGGGGAGGGAGGAGGGTGCAGTTTGTGGTCCACCTTCTCTTTCACTGCTTCCGTCTTGGGGGAGCACTTTGAACTTCAGCTGTAGAAAGGGTTAATCCATTACTGGCTCTTTTCCAAAGCTCATGCGGAATGCTGTAGTGCATCAATAGGCCTGAAACACTCAAGTCTATGGTAAAAGAGAGGGAGCCAGAAGGGGCCTTAATGGAACAAGGCTGGATGTGGTTGAAAGGAAGCAAGTGTTCTGAGGAAGAGGCCTGATGGCTTCAGAAAGAGAAGTGTTTTCCCCTCTCGCCATAGGCATTGCCCTACGGCTCTCAGTAGAGTGGCTTAAACCAACCAATAGATATTACATCTATCCATATGATCATATATGATTCCAATGGTTTTATATATAGATGTAATCATATTGATATGATCATATATACATGATAATTCTATTTATGTGAATCTCAAATTTATATTTCTAGCCCTGTGTTCTTGATTTGTATAACCAACCACCTGCTTGCCTGCAGGCATCTCAAACATAATATGTCCACAATGGAACTCTTGGTTTGCAACTCCTCACCGTCTCCTGCAACTTGTTCTTCCTCCATCTCCAATCATTCAAGCCTAAAATCTTTGAGAGATCTTACATCTAGGGTATAATATAATTTAGTTAATACTTCACTTAATATTGGACTTTTAAGATGATACATATTCTTGGCTCTTATAAAATATACTTTAAATATCTTTGTGCATAAAGCTTTGTTTGCATTTCTGATTATGTCTTTTGAGTATTGAGAAAAATCAGTCTATTCCTGATTTGCTGAGCTCAGAGCAAAAGTAAAAATGTGTCTAGATATTTAAGTTATAAATCAAGCAAACAAATTGATAATTTATATAAGATATATTCTAGCCATCTACCTTGACAAATATACCTTCAAAATGGCCTGAAATACAAGGTTTGAATTTAGAATTTGTAGGTTCCTTGGAGTTCTGTAATGGAACATGCTGGCGTGGGGAGAACGGACCCCAGGCACTGACCCGGGGCCTGACCGCCTCCTCTTCCCACCCCCAGCTTTGTCTCTCACTGGGAGGGGGCTTGTGCGCATGCGTGTTGGCACCTCAGCCTGCACACTGAAGCTTCTAGGGCTGACCACACTTTCCCTTCCCATAAACCTTCACGCCTTGCTACCCTTTGGGTGATATGCTCAGGTCCTGGAAGCTGGCTTAGGACTGCTTGGGCAGGGAATTCCAGAGTTCCAGGAAGCTGGAGTGTGATCTAGGGGGATTGGTGAGGCATGGGCATGTTCCCTGATCTCTTCCTACTCCTTGCCTGGTGGGGAGATGACACCCGCGGCAGGGTGGGAAGGGAGGGGCTCTCCAAAGCGCAAGGCTAGGGAAAGGCCCCACTTCTGCAGCTTGAAAGTCAGTATGGTGGCCAGGCGCGGTGGCTCACCCCTGTAATGCCAGCACTTTGGGAGGCCGAGGTGGGCGGATCACAAGGTCAGGAGATTGAGACCATCCTGGCTAAGACGGTGAAATCCCGTCTCTACTAAAAATACAAAAAATTAGCTAGGCGTGGTGGCGGGTGCCTGTAGTCCCAGCTACTTGGGAGGCTGAGGCTGGAGAATGACGTGCACCCGGGAGGCGGAGCTTGCATTGAGCGGAGATGGCGCCACTGCACTCCAGCCTGGGCGACAGACTGAGACTCTGTCTCAAAAAAAAAAAAAAAAAAAAAAAAAAAAAGTCAGTATGGGCAGGAAGTCCTGGCTCTAAGCATATGATCAATTTCCGAGTTGCTTTCCAGAAAGATTAGACCAGTTTACCTGCCCATTTATTGAAGGGCTCCAGGTATCAAGAGAGTTTCCAGTGGTCTACTAGACACGTGACCTTGGGCAAGTTAAGCATCCTCTTCAGGACTCAGTTTCCCCATCTGTAAAACAACTTCTTTCTAGCTCTAACCTTCTCTGGCTCTCTGAAACCAAGCCCTGTGCTTTAGCCGTTCATGGCCTGAGTTTCTTAAACCTCCTTTAGTGTGTGGATGGGGGTCCCCCAGTGCTCTTATCCAAACACATATAGGTGCACACCATGGCTTGTCAGAATAACTTTCTACCAGACCAGGAGCTGGCACCCGGAACTACGCAGGTTTTCTTCCAGCTTCGGCAATCCATAACAATTTAAGAAAAACAGAGGCAGTTTGCTTGCAACAAGGGCAACTTTGCGTCCTCCTTTTAATTTTTCCTCTCCTTTAGCCATCTGTAATGAATATACGGCTATAAAACAAGGCAGTCACACCCTCTCTGGTTCCAGGAGCACTAAATCCTTAGCGCCTCTGTGGTTATCTAGAAGATTTTATTGCATTTCACTGCAAAGAGCTGCCCCATGTTTATCCTTTGCTTCACCTACCATTTTTATAACATAAAGGAGAGATTTATGTTCAAATCCGGGAACATTTTTAGCTGACTTGGAGCTACATATGTAGTGCTTTGTAAAGAAAGACTTTTAGTTTCCTGAAGATGGCACTGTAATTTTACTTCTGTTCACACATTTCATCACATATGGAAATTTACATTCTGCCTAGTATGTGTGCACAGAGATTCATTAAAGTGAAAAATATCTGATAATAACTGTGCACCAACAGAAATGCATATCATGGAGATGTAAAATTTATTATAAAAAATGTAGAAAGGGAACTCATGATCAAAAGTGAAAGTTAATGGCTTTGGCTTATAAGATGTTGTTTTTTGACACCCTCTTCCTAAAGGACACAGAGATGGATTCTGTAGAGATAAACTAAAGTTAAAATTAATCAAGTGATCAGAAAATAACCTAAGGAAACCCATTTTGCTATGTTTTCAGTTCTCTTGTCTGCCACCTTAATATCATTTAGGCAAAGTCTGAATCAAATAAGTGATTTAATCAATGAGTATTTACGGTGTATTAATTCTCAGACATAGTGACTGAAATCTCAGTTGAACCTGAATGTCCTGATAATCTCTGCCCAGGAAGAGTGGGTGACTCTTCCCAAAAGGACCACATCCTACCTCTCCAAAGACTCATATGACAACCCAAAGATCTGCCAGCCTGCCTTCAGACTTTGGTGGAGTTGTGATACTTAGGCTGCAAATTCCAGGGACAGAACTGACCCCTGTTCCAGTGGAAAACAGAGTGGCTGGTGGCTTTGAGCAGCTGGGTGCTTTGGAGCCTGCCCTCAACTCTCTCACGCCAGGTGCGGTGGGAGCCTGCCAGAGCCCAGCCTCCATCCTCCACCAAAAAAGACCTCATGCCTGTGAAAGAAAGTGCCCTTTCCCAGTAATTTTCAAACTTATCTAGGTGACAGAACAACTTGCAAGTTTTGAGCTCCTTGGACAGGGGAGAAGAACATCATCATACCAATATATTAAAACTAATGTAATTAGAGGAGTTTGTGCTTAAATGAGATAATATCTTGTCCTACATTGCAAAATAGAGAATGCAATGGTTATTTTCTGTGTCAATTTGACTGGGCTAAGGAATGCCCAGAGAGCCAGTAAAATACTGCTTCTGGGTGTGTCTGTGAGGGTGTTTCTGGAAGAGATCAGTGTTTGAATTGGTAGGCTGAGTACAGAAGGTCAACTCTTACCAATGCAGGTGGGCACCATTCTATCCACCGAGGGCCTAACTAGAACAAAAAGCGGAGGGGGAGTGCACTTTCTCCCTGCTGAGCTGAGACGTTCATTTTCTCCTTCCCTTAGACATCCCCACTCCTGGTTGCTGGGCCTGCAAACTCCTTCAAAACTTAGACCATTGGCTCCCCCGGTTCTCAGGCCTGCGGGTTTGGACTGGAACTTCACCACTGGCTGTCCTGGGTGCAAATGGCAGATTAGGGGACTTCTCAGCTTCTGTAATCACGTGAACCAGTCCTTGTAATAAATCTCTTTCTATATATCTCTCTCTATACCATTGGTCCTGTTTCTCCAGAGAACCCAGACTAATACACACTCTTTTACAGCAGTGTTATTTCTGCTTCACTAATGAGGCAACGGAGGCTCCCAGGAGCGGTTCCGTGGCTGGCACTCAGTGCTTTACTGTGGCTGGTGTGATCCCAAGGGACAAAGCTGCTGTCAGCCGCTTGCACCAGGCACAGGGCACGGGACCTGGATAGTGGGTGCTGTCTACACATGACTCCCCACGTGCACGCTCACAGTGCCGTCCCCCCAGCAGGCTTCATCTCTCAATGTGAGCCCTGGTGGGCACTGGAGTCTTCTCATGTATTTTGGCATCCTCCAGCAGGCTAGCAAAATGCTTTTTAACTCAAGAAATATTCAAAAAACGATTCTTGAATTGGGTTGAAGGAACTCATTTTGCACTCTGTGAACAAGCAAGATATGACAGCTGGCCTCCTAGGTGACACTGCATGCCAGGACCTGTTCTAGATTTCCTCAGAACTTTGCCTGGTACACAATCCTGAGATAACATTATCAGAACGAAAGGGAGGGATGGAAGAAAGGCTGGCTATACTCCCAGGACCAGGACCAGGAGGAGGCAAGGGGGAGCCAGGGCCAACACCCAAGGAGGAGGCGCCGGCCCTCAGGCGCCGCCTCTGCACTAGTACGACCCTGAGCTCCAGCGCCTCCCTGGATTGGTGCCCTAGGCCCTGGTTTTGCCTGCCACCCCCTGGTCCTGGCCCTGGCTATATCCAGAGTGACACAGGGATGGAGAAGACCGTTGCAAAGCATGGCCTGAGTGTGTATTCCCTGAATGTTCCCTCACATCTCCTGAGTGTGTGTTCCCTTCCGACAGCTGAGGATCACTTCCGCAGGCCTCTCCCAGGCTCTGCGGTGAACCTCTCCCCGGCCTCCAGCTTCTGGGTGGTGCGCAGGGCAGGTGTGTAATCACCCCAAGGTGATGATTTGGCTCAAGTCTTCTTGAAGTATTCCAAATGCCCCTCCCTTACCCCATCAACAGCACCAAGCACTTTCCTAGAATGTTGCTCCAGAGCAATTGCCCTTGCTTCCACTTCTCTAAAGAACCATTACATGTGAAGCTGCTGGAAGGCAGCCACACCCTTCATGCAAGTGAATCTTGGAAAGGATGTCAAGAGGAATATGTGAATTGCAGGCTTCAAAAGTTAAGCAGGGTTGAGTGTGGTGGCTCACGCCTGTAATCCCAGTACTTTGGGAGGCCGAGGTGGGTGGATCACATGAGGTCAGGAGTTTGAGACCAGCCTGGCCAACATGGTGAAACTCTGTCTCTGCTAAAAATACAAACATTAGCTGGGCGTGGTGGTGGGCGCCTGTAATCTCAGCTACTTGGGAGGCTGAGGCAGGAGAATTGCTTAAGTCCAGGAGATGGAGGTTGCAGTGAGCCGAGATCCTGCCATTGCACGCCAGCCTGGGCAACAAGAGCAAAACTCCGTCTCAAAAAAAAAAAAGCAGCATTTGAAGTCATTGTTAGTGATTCTACAGCAGGCCCCAGTTTCTGCATGGTGGGGGTAACGGGGAGGAGAGAGGAGTGGGTGGGAGGGGCATAGGAAAATAGAGAAGGTGCCTCTGCTCCTGCCCTGGAGGCGTAGACTGAGAAGTTAGCACCGTATCTTAATAAAGATCTTTATTTATGAGTTCCCTAAATGTTACACCTTTTCTTAGCTGTTGTCATCAATACAGCCTTCAAACCCCACAGGTAAATTTCTGTGGTGCTTGTAACTACTTTTGCACGAAGGGAATTCTGTGTATCCAGCGCTTTGGGGTCTCCCTAATTCATGTTTAACAAGTTTAATGTAATTTCTCAAAGCAAATCTGAATCTCACATCTGAATTACTGAACATCTTGCTGACCGAGCATTTTCTACAAGCTTCGTTCCCCGCCAAACACCCGGGGAGACGGGCTGCCAGCCCACGGTGCCTGCCATGTTAAGTGAGACAAACAGGGCAGTTATTCAAATAATATTAAATATTAACGCTGACATTCTCCATGGCTGTATCTGTCATAGATCATGTGGGTTACATCTGTCATCTCGAATCCCTTCAGACTGCGAGAGCTCCAGAAATGTGATCTGTTGGCAAAGCCGTTTGATGCTCGATGGCAGCTTCCTTTGGATGTGTCCTGAAGCTGCGGAGGCCAGGGAGGATCCCGCTCGTCTCCAGATGGTTTGGGGCTTGTTACAGATTGGAGGAAGCCCTGGGGTGAGGGGGAAGGTTGAGTAATTACTAGTGTCTGGAATTACACGAACGCCCTGGGGACAGGCTGGAACAGGCAGCTTTGCCTCTCCTAGATGCCCCACTGCAGAGCCCCGCATCAACCCTTGGATCCAAGTCTGCCAGGCGAGTTTGGCTTTATACGGATAAAAGCAACATGCAAGTGGAATATTTTTGCTTTGCAGGTAGAACTGGGAATGGGGATTTTGTGCACGAAGTGTCCCAACTCTTGTGGCCAGGAAAACTTGGATTTGCTGCCTTAGCTGGAAGAGCCAAAGTTTACCTGTCAGGCTTCGTCGGGCTTTCATCAGGACAAGAATGTCTCCTTTGATCTGGCTGTGCCAGGGCTTCCTTGTTAGAAGACAGCATCATCTCAGCCGTGTGACAGCTGTTCCTTCTGCCCTGGCCAGGGGCTTCCCTATGCTACGGCTTCACTACAGCCCATCCAGAAGTTGTGGGGTGGCGGCAGGGGGGACCTCTGTGACCTTGTGTGTGTGTGTGTGTGTGTGTGTACTCTGTCTTCTTTACTATGTGCTCCATTTTCTTTTCTGCCAGAAATCAGAGTAGTGTAATATGAGATTTTTGGGATGCAGTTCTCCTTGGTAAGTTGAAGTTCATGCACCCTTATGAACTTCCCCCCAAGCCTGGGCACGAGACTAATGACCAGATGGTTGGCAGGATGCTGGAGGCCAAAGGTTTATTTGACCAGTTCCTAACAGAATGATTAAATTCAAAGTAGCTCTCATCCATTCAGTGCCTATGTGGTCCAGTGTTCTTCTTCTGTTTACTTATTGCTTTGTTTTAACTCTCACAACAACACTATTAAGACAAGGCAAGATCACCTCCATTTCTTAGGGGAGGAAACAGAGACTTGGAAAGTGTAAGTAACCCGCCTGAAGACGTATTATTGAGAAAATGATGACTCTGAAATTCAGACTCAGTTTCAACTGGCTGTCAGGATCGGGCCCTTTCTCCTGTATTGTGCTACTTTCACTTTTAGATCAAACTTCAAATTTTAAAAAAGGAGGAGAGTTTGCCTGGAAATAACCCAATCACTCTCTTAATAAACATTGGTTGAATTTGCAAAATGGTCAAATGCCTCAGCTGATTCCAAATACTCCATGCAAGCTTGGGCTTGGCTCTCAGCTGCTCAAGAGGGAATTCAGTGTTCTCCAGGCCCAGCTGGCCTGGGGCTCAGGCATGTGGTCCCAAATTGTCAAACTTTCATTTTCTGTCAGCATTGGAGGCCAGAATATCTCAGCATCAGCATGACTGATATTTTAGACTGGACACGTCTTTGCTGTGGGGGGCTGCCTGTGCATTGGTGGATGATGAGCTGCATCTCTGGCTTCTATCCACCAGATGACAGTAGGACCCTCTCTCAAAGTCATGACAATCAAGAATATGCCAGCTACTGCTAAATGTCCTCTGGGGGCAAAGTTGCCTGAGTTGGGAACCACTGGCTTGAAACTACTCTCCGCAGGTTTTATCCAAAAGCCCATCCTTGACTGGCTTCTTCCACGTCCCTGTTCTTTTCCCCCCACCTCTCTACTGACCTGGGAGCATGCCCTTAGCAGGTTACGTGCATGCAAAAGAGAGTATGAATGGTTCTAGGCAAGCTACTTAACTTCTCTGAGTACCGGTTTAATCATTTGTAAAAGGGAGGTCCCTTCAGTTCTAATACTTGGTCATATATAAAGACCACAGAGTGTCAGAGCCTGGGTATTCTTATTGTCTCCAGGATTTGCTGCCAGAGAAATAGCAGACAGAAACCCCTGTAAACAAATGTTTGTTGACTGAATGATGGAGTAGCAGCTGAGGAGACCTCAGAAGCTATAATTTTTTTTTTTTTTTCAAGACAGAGCCTTGCTTTGTCACCCAGGCTGGAGTGTAGTGGCACAATCTGGGCTCACTGCAACCTCTGCCTCCCAGGAACAAGCGATTCTTCTGCTTCAGCCTCCCAAGTAGCTGGGATTACAGGCATATGCCACCAGGCCTGGCTAATTTTTGTATTTTTAGTAGAGACGGGGTTTCACTATGGCCAGGCTGGTCTCAAACTCCTGACTTTGTGATCCACCCAACTCAGCCTCCCAGAGTGCTGGGATTACAGGCGTGAGCCACTGCGCCCGGCCAGAAGCTATAATTTAAGTGGAATGTGTTGAGAACTGGGTCTGAGGCTCTTCTGTGTAAACTGAGTAACTGCAGCTAACACAGAAGGATTGTGCAATTTTGAAGTAAAGGGGCAGGAACTACAGGAATACACCTGTCGTGGAACATGTTGGGTTTATTTGTTGCAAACAGAGAGAACCCCATGCAGAATTGTGGGGCACCTCAGTAAGAGAGTGCTAGGAAGGACTTAATATAGGATTCGGGCTGTATTTGGTGGTTCTGGGGCTGATCCAAGGAAGCAGAGCTTTGCTCTGGACCGAATGTTGTCAGGAAGCAAATTTTGTGATTAGATATTTTAACAGACAGTATCTGCAAGGGGTTGGAATGAATAGAGGCTCATGCTGTTACTGGTAAAGGAGCAGAGGTCACCCATATTAACCAGGATGGGGAGATGTTTGGTTTCTATGTGATTTGGACAAATGATTCTATTTTTTTCAGTGTTTAGACATGATTAAGGAGTGGTCTTGCTCCTGTCTTGTTCCACTTAGTCACAGAGTGATTGCGTGCTGGTGTTCTGTGGAATCGCCTGTTTAACAGGAAGACACCGCTCCCAGCTGTGTGCCAGGCCGGCTCCCAGTTGTCAAGGGTCTCTTCTGTTTCTCAAAATCTGTCACGTTGCTCTTCTCTTTGGGAAATTAAAATTGACCGGAAGGTGGTAGAGAAATTTGGGGGAACTAAAAACTGCAAAAAAAATGTTAATTTTGGGGGGTATATAAAGTGCACATATATTGTTTGTTGAACATGATTATAAATTGCTCTATTAAATTTTGTGGATTGTTGTTAAACATAGTTGAACAATAGGAAAGATTTTGGCCTTAGATTTGTGGTTGGTGTGTGCCTTCTGGGGCCTGGAAAGCTTCAAGAGTGATGTTTTCTTTCCTTTGCTTTTTGTGCATACACCCCGACAGATACACACATGCACACCCCCCACAGACACACACACACACACGCACATACATACACGCACACACACACGCGCACACACACACACAGATACACACACACACATGCACGCACGCACCAGAAAAAAAATGAAAGTCATTCCAATGGGCTTTGTCTTTAATGCTCTTTGTCTCCTGTAAGGGATTAGTTTTCCATTTGAATTCCTTTGTAATTTCCTGCTGTTGATGACACTGAGGCGGTATTAACAGGAGCAGGAGTGACAGCAGCACTTGTGGGACCGAATAGCGGGAGATGGGGTGAGAGATGTTCCAGCAGTTCCGGGACATGGGCTAACCCAGAAGAGCCAGGGAGTTTGGGTTGAGCATTCAAACTGGCTCTTTTGCTTCTGACCTGAGGATACACAAGACACCCAGCTCCATCATTAAAAGTTTTTGTAATTTTAAAATATTTATTTATTTTTTTTCCTGAGAGGGAATCTTGCTCTGTCGCCCAGGCTGGAGTGCAGTGGCAGGATCTCGGCTCACCGCAACCTCTGCTGCCCTGGTTCAAGCAATTCCCTTGCCTCAGCCTCCTGAGTAGCTGGGATTACAGGCGCACGCCACCATGTCTGGCTATTTTTTTTTGTATTTTTAGTAGAGATGGGGTTTCACCATGTTGGCCAGACTGGTCTCGAACTCCTGTCCTCAGGCAATCCACCCGACTCGGCCTCCCAAAGTGTTGGGATTACAGGCATGAGCCACCGTGCCTGGCCTAAAATAAATTTTAATTGTGCAAATAATCAAATGTCAAAAAGTCCAAACTGCGACCACAGACCCTGCAATGCTTTCTCCAAGATAAATCCTCCAGCGACTGGTTGAGGCAGGATTTCACCTGCCCAGTTCTGGTATGGCTCCACCTGGAATCTTCTAAAAAAACAGTAAAGTGTTTAAGGGACAGGGCTCTGCCTCATGATACTCTACCCTTGGTGAAATGTCCAGTTGTTCCTGTTCTTATAAAACTAAGAGCCTAATGACAGGAACCCGAAATATTGAAACTTGGGCTTTCTGAAGTCCGTGGAGATAAAAATTGACTTCCTGCCAGGGTGCGGTGGTTCATGTCTGTAATCCCAGCACTTTGGGAGGCTGAGGCGGGTGGATTGTCTGAGGTCAGGAGTTTGAGACCAGCCTGGCCACCGTGGCGAAACCCCATCTCTACTAAAAATACAAAAATTAGCTGGGCATGGTGGTGCATGCCTGTAATCCTAGCTACTCAGTGCTGAGGCAGGAGAATCACTTGAACCCAGGAGGAGGAGGTTGCAGTGAGCCGAGATCACCCCACTGTACTCCAGCCTGGGTGACAAAGTAAGACTTACTTTGTCTCAAAAAAAAAAAAAAAAGGCTCCCTTTTTTCCCACGATGAGGAAGGTGTTCAGATCAAGTTGTGTGGCTCTGAGATCTAAATAATGATTTGTCTCCCTGTGCTGATGTGAGATTTCCATGACAGGTTGTATCTGTTTGCTCGGGATGCCATAACAAAGGACCACAGACTGGGGGGTTTAAACAGCAGAAGTTTACTTTCTCACAGTACTGGAGGCTGGAAGTCTGAGGTCAAGGTGCTGGCGGTGTCGGTTTCTCCTGAGCCCTCTCTCTTTTGCCGGTAAGTGGCCGCCTTCTCCCCATTATCCTCACCCGGTCTTCCCTCTGTGTGTGTCTGCGTCCTAACCTTCCCTTCTCATAAAGACACCAGTTATGTTGGATGGGGACCCATCCTGATGACCTCATTTTACCTAAATTCCCTCCCCATCTCTAAATATAGTCACAGCTGAGGTACTGGGGGTTAGGGCTTCAACATATGAATTTTGGGGTGGGAGGTCACACTTCAGCCTGTAACACTGGTCTTTCTTGCAATGATCCTCCCCAAGGATTCCATTTAAATACATGGGATCTGCTGGTCAGAACAACTGGGCTCAAATTCTGATGCCACCACTCGCTGGAAGTGGGACCGTGGGAAATTGTGCTTGTTTCTTTGTAAATAGGAGCATTAGAGAGACTGAGCTAATATGGGGGCTGAGAGGGTCAGCTGAAGCCACGCCTTCAAGGCAGCAGCGTGGTGCATGGAACGTAGGAAGCAGTGCAATGAAAGTTGATTTGAGGGGCTTCACTTATATAAGAATCATTTTCATAATTCAGAAACCCTAGTTGGGAACAATTCCCTGTTTTTGTCCATCTGAGCTTCATTGTTTGCTGCCCACATGTTGTTACTGATTCTCTTTTTTTTTTTTTTTTTGAGACGGAGTCTCGCTCTGTCGCCCAGGCTGGAGTGCAGTGGCGTGATCTCGGCTCACTGCAAGCTCCGCCTCCCGGGTTCACGCCATTCTCCTGCCTCAGCCTCCCAAGTAGCTGGGACTACAGGCGCCCGCCACTACGCCCGGCTAATTTTTTGTATTTTTAGTAGAGACGGGGTTTCACCGTTTTAGCCGGGATGGTCTCGATCTCCTGACCTCGTGATCCGCCCGCCTCGGCCTCCCAAAGTGCTGGGATTACAGGCGTGAGCCACCGCGCCCGGCCGATTCTCTTTCCTCATAATTGCCTGGCTAAACCCTACAAATCCTTCAAGGATCCATTCACAAACTGCTTTTCCCATGAACCCTTCCTGATTACCCCACCTAAAGAAAATCTCCTTTCCTTTGAACTCCTACACCTCTCTTATGGGACTCCAGGAGTTTATTTATTTTTTATTTTTAAAAATAATTTATGGCCGGGCGCGGTGGCTCATGCCTGTAATCCCAGCACTTTGGGAGGCTGAGGCGGGCAGATCACGAGGTCAGGAGATCGAGACCATCCTGGCTAACATGGTGAAACCCTGTCTCTACTAAAAATACAAAAAATAGCTGGGCGTGGTGGTGAGTGCCTGTAGTCCCAGCTACTCGGGAGGCTGAGGCAGGAGAATGGCATGAACCCGGGAGGTGGAGCTTGCAGTGAGCCAAGATCGCGCCACTGCATTCCAGCCTGGGCGACAGAACGAGACTCCATCTGAAAAAATAAAATAAAAGTAAAAATAAAAATAATTTCTTATCTTTGAGACAGAGTCTCAGTCCATCACCCAGGCTGGAGTGCAGTGGCACGATTTTGGCCTCCCAGGTTCAAGTGATTCTCATGCCTCAGCTTCCTGAGTAGCTGGAATTACAGACATGCATCACTATACCTGGCTAATTTTAACATTTTTATTTATTTATTTATTTTTGAGATGGAGTCTTGCTCTGTTGCCCAGGCTGGAGTGCAGTGGCGCGATCTCGGCTCACTGCAAGCTCCACCTCCCGGGTTCACGCCATTCTCCTGCCTCAGCCTCCTGAGTAGCTAGGACTACAGACACCTGCCACCACGCCCGGCTAATTTTTTGTCTTTTTAGTAGAGATGGGGTTTCACCGTGTTAGCCAGGATGGTCTCGATCTCCTGACCTCATGATCCACCCACCTCAGCCTCCCAAAGTGCTGGGATTACAGGCGTGAGCACCATGCACGGCCTAATTTTTTATATTTTCAGTAGAGATGGAGTTTGCCATGTTGGCCAGGCTGTTCTTGAACTCCTGACCTCAAGTGATCTGCCTGCCTCGGCCTCCCAAAGTGCTGGGATTACAGGCGTGAGCCACCGTGCCTGGTCTAGGAGTTTATTTTTAATACAAATAATGACTAATATTTGTAGTCACTTGTAGTCACTTGGAAAGTCTCTTTACGTGTAGTGATGGATTTAATTCTTCCCATTTGTCAGAAAAGAAAACAGAGGCTCAAGAGGTTGAGTAATTATCTCAGGCCACATATCTCGTAATAAGTAGCCAGAACACATAATTCCTTGACAACCACATTCATCTCTGATTCCTAAGCTCCTCTTACAGCAACAGGCACCCAACATCTGGGTGAATAAACTCTCCACTAACAGACAGCCATGGGTTCCTGGGCCCGCCTCTCTCCGAGTCCTCTCCTTTATCAGAGCTGAATGCATCTGATCACTCTGCACAGTGGTGTCAAATTGGCTATTCTCCCTCTTTTTATTGGAGTCCTCTTTCATTCAGTCCCAATTGTGGGAAATGAAGTTTTACAGCCATGGAAGGGAAGATGAAGGGAAGAAGCGGAGAAGACAGATTTCTATAGATCACAAGGCATTTTGGATGCCATAAATATGGTGGATACCCTGTAGTTCTGCAGTGTCTTTCTTTAGGGAATCTCAAGTGCCTACTCTCTAATTTAGTCCGCTGTGTGGCTGTGGTCTTTAAGTTGGAGTCTGTGGAGACAAAGAGGGAGGTCTTGCTGTGCCTGACCCTCTGGGATGTGTTACCACCCACGCCGACCTGCTCTCTGCGGCTTTCTGACAGCACCTCACAGCCCTGGAACTGGAAATGTGGCTCTCACTGAAGCTGCCCAGAGAGAGGGTCTCTCAGTGAAGACCCCCTGTTGTCAGCTGGGGCAGCCGGAAAGAAAGACTGGGAATTCTCTTCACACAGGATTTGATATGCTTGGTGGCTCCAGAAAAATGCAAGTGTGCACATTCATCCACTTGACAAAGGGTGACTTAACTGTCAGTGTCCTGTGGATTCAAACTGAAAGGGTTTGGGCGAAAGAAAGAAGAAGGTGGGACTGCGAATAAATTGAAAACAGCATTTTGGAGGCAACAGCTGTGAAACAGAAGGGAAGGAAAATTTATGACCATATACATTTCAGTAGGAATTTATAACTTTTTATGAACATTATCTTAAAGTTAGTCTCTAGACATAGGTCTAAAAATAAAATTATGCTGAACTGTGTACCCAGAGAATGGTAAATGGGAATAACGTTCTTGAAAGGGATGACGTAGGTCCAGGGAAAGGTCACATTGAATAATCAAGGTCGGTGAAGGTCAAAATCACAAAGAAGGACCCTGCATTCACTCCTGTCCTGATGGCAGCTTCAGTGGAAACCCTTGGCCATCGCTTTGCCTCTCCAAGCATTCGAGAAAGACCGTCTGGTGCCATATTGTCTTCTGGGGACAGCTGATCACCTGGGGAGAGCTGCATCGTGCTCCTACCCGTGTCAGATCTGGGCAGAGGACAGACAAAAGTCCTCTGGAGTTTTCCGCAGTGAGAGTCACAGAAGTTCATCTAAGGAATTGGAGCCAAGGTTAGAAACTTCTCTGGAGATGTTCTAGTTTTGTTTGCTAGCTCGGCAGCTGCGTAATGACACTCCCTCCAGCAGGGCACATAGTTCACTTCAAATGACAAATGGTGGGACCTTAGTATTTTTCACTGTCGGTTAATTATCAGAAATAGATTTGTTGCTATCTAGATACCAGCCATTTGTCCAAATTACTAGGATAAGATTCCCAAGAAAGCCTGAAATCAGATAGCTTTCTCCTCCTTATTTTAAAATAAACAGAAATAAAATTATTCTGCTACAGGTGGGTTTCTCTTCTCCCAGCATATGTGACTTGACAAATTGTGTGAAAATGGTTTTCAGAAATTCAATTTCTGTTGCAAGTGCACCAAATGTTTAAAGAAACTGCAGCGTCAGACGCTGTATGGGGTAGGGTTGCTGAAATTCAGTGCTCTGGCCGGGGTGAATGGGACCTGGTGGGTGTGAGTGTAGTAGGGTTGGGGGTAGCTGGCTGCCCAAAGGGATGTGATGAACTTGAGCTTGACTGAGTCTAGTTTCAGTTCCAAGGGATTCAACCTGGTGTTTGGAAAACGCTCATTTCCTAGATCCTGAGCGTCCTGTCCTTTTGGAGCAGGACTGCAGCTGGCTGCTTAGGGATGGAAGGAGGCTCCCTGCAGGGGAAAGTGTGGCGATACGCAGGTAGGACTCAACATCGCAGCCAGGCAGACTGAAAGGCAGAACCAGCCTCAGATGCCACGATTAAGTCCACGGGGCCAGAGTAGGGTGGTGCAGACTGCTTCACACTCACACTCTGGAGACAGACCCCGGGGAAAAGAGTACTGGACTTTAGGATAATGGGCCCCTGTAATTTGAGCTGGCTTCACCTTTCTTATTAATCCAGTATATCTCACAATTAAGCATCTCCTAATTTGTTTGTTTGTTTGTTTCTTTTTTTTTTTTTTTTTTTTTAAGATGGAGTTTTGCTCCGTTGCCCAGGCTGGGATGCAGTGGTGCAATCTCGGCTCACTGCAACCTCTCGCTCCCAGGTTCAAGTGATTCTCCTGCCTTAGCCTCCCGAATAGCTGGGATTACAGGTGTGTGCCACCATGCCTAGATAATTTTTTTTTTTGATGTTTTCTTCGTAGAGGTGGGGTTTCCCCACATTGGCCAGGCTGGCCTCGAACTCCTGTCCTCAGGTGATCCACCTGCCTCGGCCTCCTAAAGTGCTGAGATTATAGGCGTGAGCCACCACGACCGGCCCAATTTGTTTCTTTTGTGAGTCATTTTACAAGGCTTTGTTAACGGGCACCCCGATTGCCTACGGGACACATTCTCTGAGATGACTAATAACACCTCACATTTCAGAAAGCCAACAGAACTTGAGTTTCCCACTGCAATCAGTGATACCATACTCAAAACGCAGTATGAATCTTAGATTCTTCTCCTTGTTTCACACCTTCTATTCGATCCATTAGCAGGTCCTGCTGCCTTTACCTACAAGATATATCCTAAATCTGGCTGCTTCAGCCACTTCTGCTACAGCTTCATTTCAAGCCACTGCCATCTCTCCCTGCAACTGCTGGACTAGCCCTCTAACTAGTGTCATTTCATCTACTTCTGTTTTACTTAAAACCGAAATATGTTTTTGTCACTCCCTTGTTCAAAATCCTCCTATGGCTTTCTACAAACATTTGCACAAAATCCAAAATCTTCACCAGGAGGTCCAATGTGACCAGGCTCCTGGCTATCCCGTGGCTTCATATCCTCACTCACTCACCTGTCCCTCCAGTTTCCCTAAGTAAGCTGGCTGCTGCCCCAGGGCCTTTGCACCTATGGTTCCCTCTGCCTAGACCACTTGCCTGGCTATCTCACGTCACTCAGGTCCCTGCTCAAATGCCTCCTTCTTCCTCAAAGAAGGGCCACCCAATCTAAACCAGCACCTTCCTCCTTTTTCTCGTTCTGTTTTTTCTTTTTTTTTTCTTTGCAAGACAGGGTCTGGCTCTGTCACCCAGGCTGGAGTGCAGTGGCATGATCTTGGCTCACTGCCACCTCCACCTCCCAGGCCCACGTGATCCACCCACTTCAGCCTCCCAAGTAGCTGGGACTTCAGGTGCTCACCACCATGCCTGGCTAATTTTTGTACTGCCCAGCTGTTTTTTGTAGTGATGGGATTCTGCCATGTTACCCAGCCTGGTCTTGAACTCCTGAGCTCAAGCGATCTGCCCACCTTGGCCCTCCAAAGTGCTGGGATTACAGGCGTGCACCACTGTGCCTGGCTTTTCTTTTTCTCTTTACACTGCTTTCTTTTTTATGACACACATTACTTCTGGCGTTACATTATACATTTAGGTATTTGTTATTTGTTTGCTCCCCTTAGATGATAAGTTCCACAAGGTCAAAAAATGGTTTGTCTTTTTCACTGCTGTATGTCCAAAGCCTAAAGGAGAGCCTGACATGCCGCACAGGCTCAATATATATTCACTGAATGTACTGACCCCTTTAAAGTTCAGTTAGCATCTGTACCATACATACCCAGTGCGGCCTCCTCAGGTTGTCAAGGTAAGTATTGCTTTCTCCCCGACAGGTAGGGTACTTACTGTCTCACTAATTCTATCAATATTGGCACAAATTGATGATTTAAAACATAATAACAAAATGGGATGCCATTGATGGTGATGAGACCCAATCACAATTTTCCCTGTAAATCCTCCCAGGAACAGGAATGGCTAAGTGGTTACTTGGAGTGGGAGCTCTAGGTGGGTACAGGAAGGTCAGGTTCAACTTTGCAAAGGTATTATAATTAACCTTGAGCCAGGTCTGTGGAAGACATGAACGTGTCCTCTTCCTACAACCCTCCCCTGCCCATCTTTAGCCATTCCAATGCCCACTCACTCAACCTTGCCCTCTCACCTAATCTAGAGTGGGAAGGGCATATTCTGTCAGTTTTTTATCCAAATGTGCCTTCTGAGGTTTGCTTCATTCCTCATCTTTCTTGCCTTCCAGTTGCCTGGCCTCTCTTGCTGTGGGGGACTTCCTTTCCCTTGGTGTAACTTCAGGATTCTCTTCACCTCATCATGGTCTTGGTGGGCATGGGTTCTTTGGGAAGGAGTAACTTGTAAAATCTATACCTTAGAAATCTCAAATCCCCACTCTTCTCATGGGAGAATTTGGAATTTCAGATCTAAATTCATTTCAGGAATTTTTTTTTTTTTTTTTGAGACAGAGTCTTGCTCTGTCGCCCAGGCTGGAGTGTAGTGGCGTGATCTCTGCTCACTGCAACCTCTGCCTCATGGGTTCACGCCATTCTCCTGCTTCAGCCTCCCGAGTAGCTGGGACTACAGGTGCCCGCCACCACACCCGGCTAATTTTTTGTATTTTTAGTAGAGATGGGGTTTCACCGTGTTAGCCAGCACGGTCTCAATCTCCTGACCTCGTGATCCGCCTGCCTCGGCCTTGCAAAGTGCTGGGATTACAGGCGTGAGCCACCGCGCCAGGCCCATTTCAGGAATTTTGTGGTTGCCCCTCCCCAATACACTACATCTTGCATTTTCCAAAAAGTTAGTAGAAACAGAATAGTGACCTAAGAACAATTCCTCTAATAATTGTGAGGATTAGGGCTTAGCTGCTAAGACCGAATGGTGGAGGGAGATGACCTTGGTTTCTGGAGGGGAAATGGAGGAGAAATGAAAGTGAACCGTTGCAAAGCACTGAGCTGAGAGGCTTTGAACACAAAGCAGAGTTTATTGATCCAGTGAAATAATAGGAAAATATTTCATCTTCTGGACCTCTGCCTCAATAGCCTGCTAACATTTTATAAACCCAAATCAAGTACTGTAGTTCAAATGCCAGAATTTGCTGCTCTTGAAACCAAGTACATTATATTTTGATATTTTACATTAAGAAATCATGTTTTACTGGTACTATTCTCATTTTGTATCTTTTAAAACATGTAGTTATTATTTTTTCTTATTATTGTTGGACTTAAAAAACAGATTTGAAAATTTGTATGTAAAAGTTGATCAGTAAGATCTGTTCCAGAGTTAACAGCATCATACCAATATCAATTTCCTGCTTTCTACAATGTACTAACTAGCGTTACATAAGCAATCTTTGGGTGAAGGGTGTGTGAGACCTCCTGGCACTATTTTTGCAACTTCTTGTGAGTCTTATACTAATTCAAAATAAAAATGCACTTTTTTTTTTTTTTTGAGACAGAGTCTCGCTCTGTCGCCCAGGCTGGAGTGCAGTGGCGCCATCTCGGCTCACTGCAAGCTCTGCTCCCCGGGTTCACGCCATTCTCCTGCCTCAGCCTCCGGAGTAGCTGGGACTACAGGCGACTGCCACCACACCCGGCTAATTTTTTGTATTTTTAGTAAAGACAAGGTTTCACCGTGTTAGCCAGGATGGTCTTGATCTCCTGACCTCATGATCCATCTGCATCAGCCTCCCAAAGTGCTGAGATTACACGTGTGGGCCACCGCACCCGGCCAAAAATGCACTTCTAAAATGTGAGTTTACATATTCATACAGGCTTTGAAGCAGGAGAGGGCTATGGGTTAAATTGTGTGCCCCGCCCCCTCCCAATTCATATGTTGAAGTCCTAACTCCCAGTACCTCCAACATGACCTTATTTGGAAATAGAGTTGTTACAGATGTAATTGATGAAGATGAAGTCATGAGAGTGGGACCTCGTCTGACATAACTGATGTCCTTATTAAAGGGGGAAGTGCCAGGCATGGTGGCTCACACCTGTAATCCCAGCACTTTGGGAGGATGAAATGGGCGAATCATCAGACGTTAGGGGTTCAAGACCAGCCTGGCCAACATGGTGAAACCCTGTCTTTACTAAAAATACAAAAAGTAGCCAGGTGTGGTTGTGGTGGCTCACAACTCTAGTCCCAGCTACTCGGGAGGCCAAGGTAGGAGAATCACTCGAACCCAGGAGGTGAGGGTTGCAGTGAGCTGTGAGCTGAGTTTGTGCCACAGCACACCAGCAGGGGCAACAGAGGGAGACTCTGTCTTAAAAAAAAAAAAAAAAAGGTGGGGGGCAGTATAAACACAGTCACATGTACAGGGAAAATGCCATGTAAGGATGAAGACGGAGATTGAGGTGATGCTTCTTTAAGCCAAGGAACACCAAAGACGGCCAGCACACCATCGGAAGAGGAGAGAGGCCCGGACAGATTCTTCCTCACGGCTCTCAGAAGGAACCAGTCCTGCCAACACCTTGATCTTGGACTTCCCAGATTCCAGAACTGTGAGACAATAAGTTCATCTTTGTTCTGGCGCACCCAGGAAGCAGACACAGATGGTGTTCTCTGTGTTTTTCTCCCCTCTTCCACGGTGGCCTCTAAACCTCTGTGGACGGCCAGGCGCGGTGGCTCATGCCTGTGATCCCAGCACTTTGGGAGGCCGAGGCGGACGGATCGGCCTTGTGGTCTGGAATTCGAGACCAGCCTGGCCAATATGGCGAAACCCTGTCTCTACTAAAAATACAAAAATTAACCACACGTGGTGGCACGTGCCTGTAATCCCAGCTACTCGGGAGGCTGAGGCAGGAGAATCGCTTGAATCTGGGAAACAGAGGTTGCAGTGAGCTGAGATTGCACCACTGCACTCCAGCCTGGATGACAGAGTGAGACTCTGTCTCAAAAAAAAATAAAAAATAAATAAATAAACCTCCATGGACCGCTGAGCACTCTGCAGACACCACTGCACAAATCTGTTTGATGATTATGTAGGAGTACATACGATTGAGTGCCGGGTTTCCCCAGCCTCAGATGAGACAATAGCACTCCTCACCCTTTGGTTGCAGTATGTGGTGGACAGGAGTTTGACATCTTGTGAATTGATGAGTGTGAAGTTTGAGGCCGAGGCTTATGTATTGATTGTGACCTGTGCCAGAGAGGTCTTCATGGGCTCTCTTTCGATCTAATTTCATATATAGATTTTTTTTTTTCATGTTGCTCTGCTTCCGTGTTATTCACCTATTGCCATCAGTTTTATTTTTATTTTGTTTTCTTTCTGGAGATGGTGTCTCACTCTGTTGCCCAGGCTGGAGTGCAGTGGCGTGATCTCAGCTCACTGCAAACTCTACCTCCTGGGTTCAAGTGATTCTCCTGCCTTAGCCTCCTGAGTAGCTAGGACTACAGGTGCTCACCACCACAACCAGCTAATTTTTGTATTTTTGGTAGAGATGGGGTTTTATCATGCATTCCAGCCTGAGCAACGTAGCAAGACCCTGTCTCTTTAAAAAATAAGTAATAAATAAACATGTAAAAAGTAAAAAAAAATTGGATCTCACATAAAGCACATAAGCTTTGTAGCCAGCATCAGGAAGCCTTAAGAACTGAGATAACTGCTGCTACCAAATGTCAGTTGATGCCGATATCAAGCTTTGAGTGATGGGTCTATAAATCTGTAAATCGATGCGCAGTCACAAATGTGTAATTATTTCTATTTATATTTAGTGTACATTTCATAGAGCTTTATTTTGGCATTGTGGAGCTGGAAGCAATATTAGAGGTATTTGGCAGAGCGGGATTTGGAGTGCTAAGTGACCACACAGTGTCACAGGGCAGCATGCTAGGCAACCCAGGAGCCTGAGCTGCCCACTGGGATATTCTTGACGAGAGGCCGTTTCTCACAACACTTGACTGACATTAACCAAATGTATATCTATATATCTATATCTCTCCCATATCTTTTCCTGGATTTATCAGAAAAGCATGAAAAGTACTTTTTATGATATCCCAATTTATTTAGCCTTAAGAAACTAATAGAGACTTACAGGAAAAATTCCAAAAAGTCTATCCTTTTGATGGACTTCCTTTTTGGCCCAGTTATTTTGCATTTAGGTCATGACTTCGGAGAAAAGTTACCCAAACCCTGCCTGGGGAGGGATGTGCTCCGTTTTCAGATGTAAACCGTACTTGTATTCCTCGGGGTTCTCTAGAGGAACAGAATCCATAGGATGTATACATAGAGACAGAAATGTATTCTCAGGAATTGGCTCACACAGTTAGAGAGCCCGCAAGTCCCTGGATCTGCAGGGGGAGTTGGCAGCTGGACACCTAGGAAGAACTGGAACCAGGAAGTCTTTTGAGATTCCTCCATAATTAAGAACATTTCTAAAATTAACATTCAGAGGTCATAGAAAATCCTATTATAATAATTTTCAAAGAAGTTATTGTGTGCTGCCCTGCTGCTATCTAATATTTACGCTGAGCACTTACTATGTGCCAGGCACTGTGCTGAGAAGGACACATCCACCGTTTTAAAAATCCTTTCCAGAATAACACAATAAGGATGTTACTAGAATTATGCTGATATTACAGGTGAGGAAGTTGAGGATTAATGAGATTAAGTCAAATGGTTGAGAGTGTTGAGCCAGTCCACTGGCTCTGGGTTCCAATTCCTACCTCTTAAGCTCCACTGCCTCTCTGATTACTGTTTCCTTTCTGTCTTTCCTCATTGCACTTCTGTTTGAACCCTTAAATTAGCACCTACTATAGGCTACTGAGTAATAGAGTCACTTAGGGTGTGTCCTGTCTGCCTGTCAGGATGAGCTTCTAGAGAGAAGAGGCTCTATCACTCATTAGCTCCAGCGCCATGCACTGTGCTTGCCACATAGCAGGCGCTCAATAAACATTTGCAGAATTGAACTGAAGCATCTTAGTATGAGTACCATGGAATTGGGGTTCAGAGAAAGAGGGCTCCCAAGACTCTAATTTATTTAATCAAGGTTTTTGTTCTAAACCACAACGCAACCTGTTGGCTTGTTTCCCGGAAATTGACTTAATCACCCCCCTGCTGTAAGGTGTCTTCAGCGCTGCCTCCAGAGGATTTTGGGAAGAAAAATTAGAACCAGAGATCCTTGTTGTTGCCTCAGTGCTGGTTGTGGGGCTGTGATTGCTGTTAATGGGTCCTTCTTCCGGCTTTTTTTTTTCTCCTTTTTTTTTGAGATGGAGTCTCACTCTATTGCCCAGACTGGGGTGCAGTGGCATAATCTCAGCTCATTGCAACCTCCTCATCCTGGGTTCAAGCGATTCTCCTGCCTCAGCCTCCTGAGTAGCTGGGACTGTAAGAGCACGCCACCACACCCAGCTAATTTTTTATTTTTAGTAGAGACGGGGTTACACCATGTTGGCCAGGCTAGTCTCGAACTCCTGACCTCAGGTGATCCACCTGCCTTGGCTTCCCAAAGTGCTGGGATTAAAAGTGTGAGCCACCGCGCTGGGCCCCTTCTTCTGGCTTTTAAGAATAGACTTGGGCCGGGTGCAGTGGCTCATGCCTGTAATTCAAGCACTTCGGGAGGCCGAGGTGGGCGGATCACGAGGTCAGGAGTTCGAGACCAGCTTGGCCAATATAGTGAAACCCCGTTTTTACTAAAAATACAAAAATTAGCCGGGTGTGGTGGCGCATGCCTGTAGCCCCAGCTACTCGGGAGGCTGAGGTAGGAGAATTGCTTGAACCCGAGAGGTGGAGGTTGTAATGGGGCGAGGTCGCGCCATTGCACTCCAGCCTGGTGACAGAGCGAGACTCTGTCTTAAAAAAAAAAAAAAAAAAAAAAAAGAATAGACTTGAGTAGGAGTGCAAGCAAATACAATTAAAAGCACATTTTTCATGTTTATGTCTTTCCTGTAACCCAGAGGAGAGTCACGCAAAGGCCTCCCTGCTTCTGACAAGCATGGATGATAGAGTCAACTTGGCTGTGCGTGTGTTTTCATGAGAAGATGAGGGAATTGCATCACACGGCAATGCGCACACCCACACAAAGAGCCATGAGTGACAGACAACACCATGGGGAAGGGATTACGAGAGGGACGGACTGAGAGTCTGTGAAAGGTGACAGCATTTACCTCTGTATCCTCAGCGCTTAGGCCATGGATAAAGAAAGTTACACAGAAAGAACAAAAGGAGGGAGTAGGATGGAAGACAGGAGTGAACTGTGAAATACGTGTTATTTAAGATGAAGACATGGAAGTTATTAAAAAATGGCCCAACAGATTCACTGGGATGCCTGGTTTTATGAATAAATTTATCTCAAGACTTTCTGGACAGTTACTGTCCACAGGATGCCAGTTCTTCTCTTTTTTGATCCAGGTTAGTGTAAAGAGGATGGAGGCATTTAATATGATGTATTGAGAATTGAAACTCAGGGACCAATATGCATGCTGGAGCTACTTCTGCAGCTATTTTCCAGATTATTATTATTATTATTATTATTATGTGAGACAGAGTCTTGCTCTGTCACCCGGGCTAGAGTGTGGTGGTGTGATCTCGGCTCACTGCAACCTCCGCCTCCTGGGTTCAGGCAATTCTTGTGCCTCAGCCTCCCGAGTAGCTGGGACTACAGGCGTGAGCCACCATGCCCAGCTAATTTTTGTATTTTTAGTAGAGATGGGGTTCCACCATGTTGACCAGGCTGGTCTCCAACTTCTGGCCTCAAGTGATCTACCTGTCTTGGCCTCTAGTGCTGGGATTAAGGCAGTAGCCACTGTGCCTGGCCTCCAGATTAAATTTTGATTCCAGTTGTGGGCATCTGTTACTCTCCCTTCAGAGTCTGCTGCCAGGAAGCAGCAACACAGGTGAAGTCCTAGTGTGCACGTTCTTTTGTCCTTGCCCGACTCACCTGCACTCAGGCAAAGCCGAGCTGTTGTCTGATCACCACTTAGATATGGGCCAATGATCAGAATATTAGCTGATGAGAGATTGACAGTAAGAGCACTTTCAGTTTATTAGGAGAAGCTGGAAAATGAAAACCCACTGAGACTCAAAAGAAGTAGAATTTCTGGTTTATTGGCAAATGTGTGAAATTCTCAGGTGGGAAAGCTTCCCTAGGGACCCTCAAATCAGACCACTAAGGCTTGGAGAGTTCTAGGAAAGATCGGTTCCTAATGACTATGACAACCACAAAACAGAATTGGTCTTAATCTTTGTCAGCAGGTAGACTGATAAGGAAACAGACACATCGTGGTACAGCTTGTAACTGAGCTCCCAAGGATATGAACAAGCAGACTGTGGCCTTAAAAGATTTGTAGGACTTTATTCTACACCTTTAGGGTAAAGAAGGTATCTTTATTCTAAAGGTGAAAAAGTGGAACAAGGACATTCAAACCAGAAGGGCCCACTGGATGGCAAAATGGGTGGGTAGGCATATGTATGTATGTGCATATGTATATGTATGTACGTGTGTGTATTTATGTATGTGTGTATGTGCGTGCATTCATGAGTATGTATGTGTATGTGTGTGTATGTGTGTGCATGTTTGTGCATGTATATGTGTGTGCATGTGGTATATGTCAGTGTTTATGTGTATATATGTGTATGTGTGTATATTTTTACACCTGTATAAGTGTGTATATGTGTGTATGTGTGTGCATCTGTGCATGTGTGCACGTGTGTGTTTGTGTATGTGAGTGTGTATGTGTATGTTTGTATGTGTGCATGTGTGTACATGTGTATGCGTGTATGAGTGTGCATATATGTGTGCTTGTGTGTATGTTGTGTGTGCATGTGTATGCGTGTATGAGTGCATATGTGTGCTTGTGTGTATGTGTTGTGTGTGCATGTGTATGCGTGTATGAGTGTGCATATATGTGTGCTTGTGTGTATGTGTTGTGTGTGCATGTGTGTGTATGTGTGTTAGTATTGGGGAAACCCATCCCCAATATTTCAATGTAGGTTCTTTCTATTTTCCGTAAGTGTCGGCCGGCTGAGAAATAAAGTGAGATAGTACAAAGAGAGGAATTTTACAGCTGGGCCGCCAGGGGTGACATCACATATCGGTAGGACCGTGATGCCCGCCCGAGTCTCAGACCAGCAAGTTTTTATTAAGGGTTTCAAAAGGGGGGTGTGTGTAAGAACAGAGAGTAGGTACAAAGATCACATGCTTCAAAGGGCGAAAAGCAGAACCACTGATAAGGGTCTCACAAATATCACAGGGCAAAGGGCAAAGAAGAACCACTGATAAGGGTCTATGTTCAGCGGTGCACGTATTGTCTTGATAAACATCTTAACAGAAAACAGGGTTCGAGAGCAGAGAACTGGTCTGACCACAGATTTACCAGGGCTGAGTTTTCCCAACCCTAGTAAGCCTGAGGGTTCTGCAGGAGACCAGGCCTTATTTCAGTCCTTATCTCAACTGCACAAGACAGACATTCCCAGAGCGGCCGTTCATAGACCTTCCCCCAGGGATGCATTCCTTTCCTAAGGTATTAATATTAATATTCCTTGCTAGGAAAATAATTTAGCGATATGTTTCCTACTTGCACGTCCGTTTATAGGCTGTCTGCAAGAAGAAAAATATGGCTCTTTTTGCCCGACCCTGCAGGCAGTCAGACCTTATGGTTGTCTTCCTTTGTTCCATAAAAATTGCTATTATTCTGTTCTTTTTCAAGGTGCACTGATTTCATATTGTTCAAACACACATGTTTTACAATCAATTTATACAGTTAACACAATTATCACAGTGGTCCTGAGGTGATGTACATCCTCAGCTTACAAAGATAACAGGATTAAGAGATTAAAGACAGGCATAAGAAATTATAAAAGCATTATTTGAGAACTGATAAATGTCCATATTAAAATGAAATCTTCACAATTTATGTTCCTCTGCTGCAGCTCCAGCTGATCCCTCCATTTGGGGTCCCTGACTTCTCGAAACATGTTAGTGTATGTGTACATGTATGTGTATATGTGTGTACAGTGTGTATTGTGTGTGCATGCATGTGTAAATGTGTATGTGTTTGTGTGCATGTGTGTGTTGTGTGTGCATGTGTGTATGCATGTGTGTATATGTGCTTGTGTGTATATGTTGTGTATGTGTGTATGTATGTTTGTATATGTGTGCATGTGTATGTATATATGTGTGAGTGTATGTATATGTGTGAATGTGTATATGTGTATGTGAGTGTGTTTAT
Organism: Homo sapiens; assembly: GCF_000001405.40. NCBI lineage: Eukaryota > Metazoa > Chordata > Mammalia > Primates > Hominidae > Homo > Homo sapiens. The sequence continues at coordinate 148,461,972 of NC_000007.14, read as the reverse complement.
GTGTGTATGTTTGTGTGCTTGTGTGTGTATGTGTGTGCGTGTGTGTATGTGAGTGTGTATATTTGTGTGTGTGCATGTGTGTTATGTGTACATGTGTATGTGAGTGTGTATGTAGTACATACCATGGTAGTGTTGGTGGTATAGGTACTGCGATATGGATATGTGTTTGAGGAGCAGAGTTGAGCAGATGGAGGCTTGGGAGATTGGGTGGGTGGAAGATAAAAATTAAAACAGACTTTTTAGCAATACCACACATGTTGAGAATTTAAATATTTGGTTAAGCAAGAAAGTCAATAGTTATAAATTGTTCCCTTGCATAGGGACCTGTTGTGGGTTATTGCTGTCCACAGGATAAGTGGTCTGGCTATGACTCAAGTCTTTCCACCTTGAGGCCCGTCTAGCCAGCTCTGCTGTTTCTTGCTCAACCTGACCCACCCTCTGCTCCCACCCAGCTGCTTTATCCTCAGGTTCTGAAATATACCTGCCTCTCACTACATGCAGGTTTCCCTGATGAAAATGCCCGTCTATTCAAACCCCAGCCTCACCTGCTGGGTCCACCCCAGTGAGTCCAGCTCACACCAATACGGCCCTTTTCTAATCAGGAATTCTCAAATACTGCTGGTGGGAGTGTGAATTGGTGCAAACTGGAAAAAAAAAAAAAAAGATCGAGAATCTCCTAAATGACAGGGAGTTCTCAAAGGACTAATAAAAACATCTGAAAAAGCTGTCCACTCCCATTAGTAATCAATGAAGTGCAAATTAAAGCAAGTTCAACTAATATTCAGATAGCATTTTCCACCTCTTAATTTGGCAGAAATGGAAAAATGCTAATGCACAGAATTGTCAAGGGTATGAGAAATGTAAACTGGGAAAATATTTGTGAAGACTCTTTGGCAATATGAAACAAATATGCGTACCATTTGATGGAGTATCCCACTTCTAGGAATTTGTTATAAAGTCAAAATGATGGACAAACAAATACATCTACTTATAATTGTTATTTTCAGCAATATTTCCATAGGGAAAATTCGGGTACTATCTAAAGGTCCAATAATAAAGTAATGTAGTAGGGCAGGTAAATTAATAATAGTAAAGTAAGTTTGAGGATAGCCATATATTGGATATATGCCATTTAAATGATGGAAAATGTTTAATAATATAAAATGCAATTATGCTCTATTGTTAAGTGAAGAAACACTAGTCACAAAACTTTATTTATAATTATGCTTTGGGAATATCTCCAAGATTACCTTCAGGTTCAATAGTTTGCTAGGATTCATGGAACTCAGCAAAGCAGTTATACTCATGGCTACAGTTTATTCATTTTATTTTATTTTATTTTATTTATTTTATTTTATTATTTTATTTTTCTGAGATAGAGTCTCTGTCTGTCACCCAGGCTAGAGTGCAGTGGCACGATCTCAGCTGGTTGTAATTTCTGCCTCCTGGGTTCAACTGATTCTCCTGCCTCAGCCTCCGAGTAGCTGGGATTACAGGCCTGCACCACCACACCTGGCCAATTTTTGTATTTTTAGTAGAGATGGGGTTTCACCATGTTGGCCAGGCTGGTCTCGAACTCCTGACCTCAAGTGATCCACCTGCCCTGGCCTCCCAGAGTGCTGGGATTACAGGCGTGAGCCACCGTGCCTGGTCACATGGCTATAGTTACTACAGTGAAATGATATTGATTAAAATTAGTAATGCAAAAAGGTTCATAGAGCATGGTCCAGGTGAGGCCAGGCACAGAGCACTCAGTCATCTGCTCCCAGTGGCATCGTGAGCAAAGTTTCTTTTTCCTAGCAAAAATGTGTGATATGAAGTATGGAATATCACCAACCTGCCTGAGGCCTGGCATCCAGGGCTTTCATTGGAGGTTGGTAATACAGATATGTCTGACAACTATAAGGCTGACCTTAGTCTCTAGCCCCTCAAGAGGTCAAATTAATATCATGTGGCCCAAAGTCCCCAGGATGAATCTTACTGTTAGAAGAGACTATCTAGCATAGCCCAAAGCCCCTCGGTAAACAAAGGCATTCTTTTTTTTTTTTTTTTTTTTTTTTTTTGAGACGGAGTCTCGCTCTGTCGCCCAGGCTGGAGTGCAATGGCGCAATCTTGGCTCACTGCATGCTCCGCCTCCCGGGTTCACGCCATTCTCCTGCCTCAGCCTCCTGAGTAGCTGGGACTACAGGCACCTGCCATCATGCCCGGCTAATTTTTTGTATTTTTAGTAGAGACGGGGTTTCACCGTGTTGGCCAGGATGGTCTTGATCTCCTGACCTCGTGATATACCCGCCTCAGCCTCCCAAAGTGCTGGGATTACAGGCATGAGCCACCGCGCCCGGCAACAAAGGCATTCTTATCTGCCAGAACATCCCAGTGGCTTCGAAGTTACCTCCCAAGTTGGGGCACAAAAGATGAAACCTATCTTCAGTCAAGGTTAATCCTTCACTGCACAGGCCACTCCCAACGCCTCCTGATAAATCTGCTATCCATTTTCAAGAATGAGAAATGTGCTTTGAACCCTAAAAGAAGGCATCTTCCCCTCTAAAGCTTTGTGTGAGCGGCTACCATGATCCCTTGGTTCTTTTTACCCAAGCTTTCCTGGCTGTGTGAAGAACTCAGAAGTCTTCTTGTCCCTGCCCTCCTCTGGTCAGGATGGCGCCTGTTACACACACATCATAGAGAAGTAAACCCCCTCTCACCCTGGCATGGAGATGAGACCAAGTCGAAAAGCAGAAACCTCAGGGGACCCTTAAAAATTCAGCTTATTGGCTGTACTACTAGAAATTCTGATTTATAAGGTTGTGGATGAGCTCTAAGAACCTGGATATTTAGGCCGGGCACAGTGGCTCACGCCTGTAATCCCAGCACTTTGGGATGCCAAGGCAGGCGGATCACCAGAGGTCAGGAGTTTGAGACCAGCCTGACCAATATGATGAAACGCCATCTCTACTAAAAATACAAAAATTAGCTGGGCATGGCGGAGGGAGCCTGTAATTCCAGCTACTTGGGAGACTGAGACAGGAGAATCATTTGCACCCGGGAGGTGGAGGTTGCAGTGAGCCGAGATCGTGCCATTGCATTCTAGCCTGGGCAACAAGAGCAAAACCCCCTCTCAAACAACAACAACAACAACAACAACAACAACAACAACAACAACCTGGCTATTTAAAAATAGCCCCAGGGATTCTGATAATCAGCCAGGTTTGAGAACCCATTCCTCTTCCCACCAATAGCTTTCATATAAATAACCATTTCCTGGCACATTGTTCAGCATTCAGAGTTCCCTTTTGCTTGCCAGGGGAGTAAGAGCTCCCAGGTGAGCTCAATTCTTCCAGGATCCAGCTGATCCAACCATAAGGATGCCTGTCTGTAATAATGTCTGACATATGGGTGCATTAGTTTCCTAGGGCTGTTATCACAAATGACCACAAACATGGACATCTTCAAACAATACAAATGCATTCCCTTACAGTTCTGGAAGCCAGCAGGTGTCAGCAGGGCTTTGCTCTCTCTGCAAAGACTCTAGAGAGAATCCTTCCTTCCTCTTCCAGCTCCTGGTAGCCCCAGGCATTCCCTGTCTTGTGGCTTCAGGAGGGGCAAAGTTGGATGGAGTCTCTGAGTCCTGCCAGTCTGCCTCTGTCTTGTATCCTTTGAGCCTGGCACTGAACTTTGGGTCCTAGACCTGGTGGTCTCTGTCAGAGTCAGCTCCAGAATTTGACTTTGGAACCAAGGTGTGTCTGGAAAGTAGCTGGGATCAGGGAACATCCCTGTGGTTTTTTGTTCGTATAGCTGCCCACTGTTTTAATGACTGTTTATTGAGGTTGGCCAAGGAAAGGTGCTGATGAAGGTTATAGAGGCCCTGCCATAGCCAAGCTCACCCTGAGTACCATGGCTAAAGGCAAACGATCTTTATGGGATACAGAAGGTGGGGACTTGGGAAATGCAAGTCTGTGGGGCTGAATCTGGGAGTGGGTGGGAGCTTTTATTCCTTTTCTTCCCCCACAGCGTACTGGGTCCTCTGAGGCTTCTAGGTAATTCTGAAAGAGGGAATTAGTGATGGCAATAGTGGCCTGTCTGGAGTGGCCACTGTGAAGATGCCGGCTGTAATGGGGGAGAAGGGTGTGGTTGGGACTGCGCCCTCCAGGAAGCCAGCAGGAGCTGGGAACAGGCTCCAGGCCCTGGTATTCCTGTGTTCTTGGGGGCCAGGAACAGGTCAGAGCCCTGCCTCCTACTGAGTTGGCCGCGCTGGCGGGGTGGGAGCCCCAGGCTCCCCAGGCATAGCTATAGCTGCCCAGCTGCAGCTCCAGGCTCCGGCATCCCTGCACTCTTGGGGGCCAGGGAAGCTCCCCCTACCCCCACAGGCTCGGAAGTTCCTCCTCTTATTCCCTGGCCTCTCCCCATATCTAGGGCCTGCTCTGATGTGGAACAAGGTAGCCTAGCCTGGGCCCTGTAGTGACCCAGCCAGGTGTGCATGTGCTCAGGACCATGCTGACACACCGCCTCAGCCCTTTTTGGACTTTGGGCACCAAAGAGTGTGGGAGGGAGGCTGGGAGGTGCTGAGGGTGGCTCTACGTGAGCCTGAAAGCACCCCTTGGCATGAACAGCCTGGGCATCATGGATGGCACATTGATGGCGGGAGACAGACAGCTTCCTGGGTAAAATGGGGAGGTCCCTGCCCACCTTCAAGCCAGGGATGGCCTGAAGCCTGGGAGCCAGGCTGTCAGTTCTAGGTGAAGTCTGCAGCCCAGAGTGAGAACTTATGGTGCTTTTTTCAGGGCCTGCCCATGGCCATCCAGGGATAAATCAGCATGTACTTCCTCCCTTCCTAGCCCATAAACCCCCCCATTCAGCCAGACTCAAGCCAATGGCAGGACGCCCTGCCTGCAGATAGAAGCTACCCACTCCAGGTCTCCTCTCTGCCGAGAGCTGCACAGATGTTGGGATGACCTGCTACCTGTCAGGAGCTACCCACTTCGGGTCTCCTGAGAGCTGTACTGTGGCTCAATAAATCTCTTCTCCACCTTGTTCACCCTCCATTTGTCCATGTATCTCATTCCTCCTGGATGCATGACAATAACTCAGGAAACCCAAATGGTGGGACTGAAAGAGCTGTAACACAAACAGGGCTGAAACACGCACCCCTGTTTTCCAAGTTGCAGGTGACAAGAAGGAGAGAAGAGCTGCAGCCCCTCAGGAAGCCCAGACCTAGGGGCTCCCCCAGCCAGGGCTGTAGCACCCTCTTTAGGGCTCTGCGGCTTCTGGCATCTCCAAGCTACTTTGTTACCCAGTCCAGACACTGGTGCCCACAGGGGAAACCACTCGTAGTACATCTGGTCCAACTGAGGCCTCGCAGGGAGCTGGTGTCTGGAGCTGCCCATCCCGCTGCAGCAGCTGGCATGCCTGGTTGTGTGCAGTGTCCAGACCCCATGCTCGCTCACTTACACATCCCTCACCACTCTGTGCCTGGCTTGCCCTTGGCAGGCGTGGGATCTGGGCCGGTAGTGTGGGCTGAGTACAGCCTGCTGGGCTGAGTGGGTGGAATGAGCCTAGCCAGCCCAAGCAAAACTCGGACAAAGGCACCACCAGCCACAGAGGTTTCTGGCTGGCAAAATGACACCCAGAAGCTCCTGTGATGTTAGTAAGTGGTATAGTATAACCTAAGGCTCTCGTGACCCTTCCAAATGCCTCCTCGCAATCCCAGCCACAGAACAGGGCTGGAGTGGTTTTGAGATGTCCCGACACAGTCACTCTCCTGCATTCTGATATTTCCTCTTGAAACACAGATCTACAAGGAGCTAATGGTAAATGTGAATGTGAAGATTTAAGGACAAGTTTGGCTCTTACGACTTTCATTTTATTTGAATCAGACTTTTTTTTGACATTTTGGCTGATACTGAAATAAGTACTTAATAACACCAAACATCAAAATGTAATGATATGCAGAGTACTATTTTTCTTTTGTTTAAAGGAAAGTTGAAATTTTAGAAAGATTAAGGGGACCATGAAGACCCAATGTTTTCTAATAAATAGAAATTGGAAGTGATTTAATAAATCTGCCACTGAATCAAAATACAGGAGCCTTGTCACCTTGAAGTTGCATACATGTGTTGTCCAATACGGTGGCCGCCAGCCACACATGGCTATTGACCACTTGAGATGTGGCTTGTCTGAACTGAGATATGCTTTAAACATAAAATACACACTGCATTTTAAAGACTTAGCATGAAAACGAAGAATGTCAAATAGCTCATTAAGTAATTTTTACATGTTGTTTACATGTTACAAAGATATTTTCAACATACTGAGAAATGAAACGTTGTTAAAATTGATCTTACCTGTCTGTTTTTACTTTTTAATCTTGCTACTAGAAAATTTAAAATTGCGTATGTGGTTCACATCATACTTTTATTAGACCACACTACTCTAGGAAGAGAAATAATCACTCATTTTCTTGTATTACTTCTCATTTTCGTCCATATCAATTCAAGACGTTAGATTTCCTCCTGCCTGTCACAGATTCTATTAGATTTAAAACCACAGGGTCTTTTGCTCTTTTCTCTAACTTCTACCTTCAATATGCATTTCTCATAAAATGTATCTTTGCATTTTAAATTCAATAAGCACATCAATATCAAAACTGCTTTTATTCTCTTCACTTATCACCCCTTCCTATTCAGGACATTACTCTTTCTTTTCTCCATCACAATTTATTTTTTCCTGACATTTTTTTCTGGCTTCCTTTTCAAATTAGAAACCTGCCTCCCCAGGGCAAAGGAATCAGAAATCATGGGCGTGGCACATAACAAAGACAGATGTAGGGAAAGAAACATTCTCATCGGAAAGTTTATCACCTCACACATGGTTAGGTCCCTTACTGACCTTGGCATAAGGGATACCATGACCACATGAATTCATTTATTCTACAAACGTTTCTAAAATAAAATAAAATAAAATCCTAAGCCCCCCTCTGATTGAACAGGATCCCCTCTTGGCCAGAGGGACCCAAGAAAACCTTAAAAATGGAATTCCTGGACATGATGAGAATGGAGGTCAGACATACCTTGCTATATTCCCTCCCTCTTAGAGTTTAAGCACAACTGGCCAGCATTAATGTTAAAATAGAGACCATCGGACTGACAAAACAGACTTCTGTCGAGATGAGATACCAAATTATAAACAAGACCTGAGACCATGCAAGGCAAGGGTTAAATCACGCCTGCAGGCCATTGATTTTGCTACATAGCATCCTAATCTGAATTTAAGATATTCCTTTCTGCTGACTACAAGTTTTAGAGAGAGCCTTACTACTCTAACCGATTACAAATTAAATAATCTCTAAATCCACCTATACACCTGTTAGCTTCTGCTTTAAAATATCCTTTCTTTTTGGGCCAAACCAACGTATACCTTCCATGCATTGATTTATGCCTTTGCCTGATACTCCTGTCTCCCTAAAATGTATAAAACCAAACTGTAATCTGATCTCCTTGGGCTCACTTACTCAAGACTTCTTGGGTTTTTGTTTTCCCCTGCCTGAGGTCACTCATCTTGGCTCAGAAGAAACCTCTTTAAATTATTTTACCGAGTTTAGCTTTTCCATTCATATATTCATTAAGAACCTACCATGTGTCAGCTTTGTGTCAGTGGGGGTAGAGAGGTTAATAAGACAGATGTCTGATCTTCCCTTCATGACAATCTTATAGGGAAAGTCCACATGACTACTTGGAGCCAGGTCACAAAATGACTGAGTTTTTTTGACAGTAATTCATGAATCCTCAACTATTAAAGAGCAATTAAAGAAAAACCTTGGCCAGGCGTGGTGGCTCATGCCTGTAATCCCAGTACTTTGGGAGGCTGAGGCGGGTGGATCACAAGGTCAGCAGTTCAAGACCAGCTTGGCCAACATGGTGAAACCCTGTCTCTACTAAAAATACAAAACATAGCTGGGCATGGTGGTGGGCACCTGTAGTCCCAGCTACTCGGGAGGTTGAGAAGAGAGAATCCCTTGAACCTGGGGAGCGGAAGTTGCAGTGAGCAGAGATCACGCCACTACACTCTAGCCTGGGCAACAGAGCGAGACTCCATCTCAATAAATAAATAAATAAATAAAAAACCTTTTATTTTAAGTTCTGGGGTACATGTGCAGGTTTGTTACACAGGTAAACTGTGTCATGGGGATTGTTGTATAGATTATTTCATTAACCGGTAGTAAGCCTAGTACCTATTAGTTATTTTTCATGGTCCTCTCCCTCCTCCCACCCTCCACTCTCTGATAGGCCCTGGTGTGTGTTGTTTCCCTCTATGTATCCATGTATTCTCATAACTTAGCTCCCACTACTAAGTGAGAACATGCGGTATTTGGTTTTCTATTTCTGCATGAGTTTGATATGGATAATGGCCTCCAGCTCCATCCATGTCCCTGCAAAGGACATGATCTCATTTTTTATGGCTGCATAGTATTCTATGGTGTATATGTACCACATTTTCTTTATCCAGTCTACCATTGATGAGCATTTAGATTCCATGTCTTTGCTATTGTGAGTAGTGCTGCAATGAATGTACATGTGCATGTGTTTTTATGATAGAATGATTTATATTCCTTTGGGTATATACCTAGTTTTGGGATTGCTGGGTCAAATGGTATTTCTGTTTTTAGGTATTTGAGGAAATGTCACACTATTTTCCACAATGGTTGAACTAATTTACATTCCCACCAACAGTGTATAAGCATTCCCTTTTCTCTGCAACCTCAGTAGCATCTGTTATTTAAAGAGCAATTTTTTAAAAAAGTAAAATCATGACTCTCATACAAATATAAAATCAATGGGTGTCAAATATTTTTAAACTCAATTAATGAAAGAACTTAATAAGATATTATCACCTATTCAAAGATGTCTAACAACCACACACATGTACACGTAATAATTTTAAATAATTTTTTATAAGATACAAAAATCCTATTTAAAAGCCAATGACTAATTTTAATGAACACATAAATTACTTTTTTTTTTTTTTTGAGACAGGGTCTCACTCTGTCACCTAGGCTGGAGTGCGGTGCCATCATCTCAGCTCACTGCAACCTCCACCTCCTGGGTTCAAGTGATTCTCCTGCCTCAGCCTCCCAAATAACTGGAATTACAGGCGCCCACAACCACACCCGGCTAATTTTTGTATTTTTGGTAGAGATGGGGTTTCACTATGTTGACCAGGCTGGTCTTGAACTCCTGACCTCAGGTGATAGGCCCGCCTCGGCCTCCCAAAGTGCTGGGATTACAGGTGTGAGCACTACGCCCGGCCTATATTACTTTTTTAAGGAGTCTTTTTCTTTCTTTCTTTTCTTTTGTGTGTGCTAAAGATCAGGGAATTGTCCTACAGGATCTCATGGAAGGAAGCCATCTCAGCCTGCCTCCTCCCAGAAACCAGAGCCTGAGATAAGGGTCGTGTGCTGGTGTTAATTTGGGGAAGTGATTGAAGAAACAGGAGTTGGGGCAGGGGAGAGCAGGAAGAAGGAAACGGTAGAGAAAGCCGATTCATGCAAGATTGCATTGTGGAGCTGGTTGGTCACTGCCATGCCATCCACAGGGACCCTTTGAAGAGCTGTGTAGACTGCATCTTGGAATGATTCTCTTGAGAAGCAGAAGATAGTCATATTTTCTTACTGACTCGCCCTCATTGATTGAAGCTGCTCCAGAGTGTTAACTCCCTTGTGCTCTAGGTTTGCACGCCTGCAGTTGAATGTTTCTGGGTGGTGGCCCACTCATTAGCTGCAGAGAAGCCCTGGGGCAGCAAGTAAGGGAAATAGGGACATCTGGGGTAGGTTCTATCAGAGTCCACTTGCACAATGGCTGGGTAAAAGGTGGGCTAAGGGCCGGGCGTGGTGGCTCACGTCTGTAATCCCAGCACTTTGGGAGGCCGGGGCGGGCGGATCACGAGGTCAGGAGATCGAGACCATCCTGGCTAACACGGTGAAACCCCATCTCTACTAAAAATACAAAAAAATTAGCCGGGCATGGTGGCGGGCGCCTGTAGTCCCAGCTACTCGGGAGGCTGAGGCAGGAGAATCGCTTGAACCCGGGAGGCGGAGGTTGCAGTGAGCTGAGATCGCACCACTGCACTCCAGCCTAGTGACAGAGCGAGACTCCGTCTCAGAAAAAAAAAAAAAAAAAAAAAAAAAGATGGGCTGAGAACACACGAGGCAGGAAACAGAAGGGGTTAAATACAGGAAGCCCTTTGTAGGTTTACTTCGTGCTCATTCTGAGAGCAGATACAGGATCTTTTTCCAGTTTGAGGCTGAGGAAGGCATTTTTGTATATTCTTCTGAGTTAGAAGATAATCTTTGGCCTGAATGGTACAAGCTAAAATCAACTGGAGTTTTCAGGGGCTAAATGATTTTAAATGGAGATATTCTGCAAGTAACAGTTGTAGACTCCTTTTTGGAGCAGAATTTAATGAAGGTTTAATGAAGCAACACAAAGAGAAACAGAAATCGCCTAAACTACCCTACCCTCCTCAGCCCTGGCTGCATCTCCCACCTGTGGCACGATGGCTTCTCTGAAGCTAAGCCTATGAATACAGGGTTATTTGGAAATGAGAAGAAAGTATAAGCTGTCTATTTAGTGATGTAACTTAGCTTTGCATGGACCTGCTGGGAAGGGAATCTCAAGACAGCACCAAGGATAAGACCTAGGTGGGTCGTGAGGGTCTGTTTGTTTCCACACAGGGCTGAAGGATCTTCCGCTTTCTGCTCCTCCTGCAAGGCTATTCTTCTGCCTCGAAGATCCTGGATTTAGAGACAAATTGCCAAAGACTACTTTCTTTTTCTTTTCTTTCTTTCTTTTTTTTTTTTTTTGAGATGGAGTCTCACTCTGTTGCTCAGGCTGGAGTGCAATGGTGTGATCTTGGCTCACTGCAACCTCCGCCTCCTAGGTTCAAGGATCCTCCTGCCTCAGCCTCCTGAGTAGCTGGGATTACAGGCACCCGCCACTATGCCCGGCTAATTTTTTGTATTTTTAGTAGAGATGGGGTTTCACCATGTTGATCAGGCTGGTCTCGAACTCCCGACCTCAGGTGATCCACCCACCTCAGCCTCCCAAAGTGCTGGGATTATAGGCTTGAGCCACCGCACCCAGCCCAAAGGACTACTTCCTAAGACCAGAATGGAAAAGAAGGGAATCTGTGGAATGTCACTATCTTAGAGTCCCTAATCAAAATCCTCACATCTTCCTATCCCTGAAAGGAGGAGATCAGAGCCAGTTTTGGCAGTAAATTGGCTTTACAAATGTGAGTGGTTTTGAGGTGAGAACTTGAAGCTATATTTTAATAAATAAATTGATAATTCAACTGATTGAAGAAATGATCACAGGCAGCTTCTTAGGCTATGCAAACTATAACAAATAACATGAGTTGAATATGGGAATCACAGATAACAGAACTTTCTTTTGCCTTGGATTCGATATAGCTTGTGTGAATAATTCTGGGAAACATTGGATTAAATGTGAAAAGGCAAGCAGTCTTGTTTTATGCAAGACCTTTCATGTGCTTCTCAGAATCTTCAATATGCTAATTTGCATTCAGATCATTAAGACTATATGAGGGGGCCAAGCGCGGTGTCTCACGCCTATAATCCCAACATTTTGGGAGGCAGAGGTGGGTTGATCACCTGAGGTCAGGAGTTCAAGACCAGCTGGCCAACATGGTGAAACTCTGTCTCTACTAAAAATACAAAAATTAGCTGGGTGTGGTGATGTGCGCCTGTAATCCCAGCTACTCAAGAGGCTGAGGCAGGAGTACCACTTGAACCCGAGAGAAGGAGGTGGCAGTGAGCCGATATCATGCCACTGCACTTCAGCCTGGCTGACAGAGTGAGACTCTGCCTCAAAACAAACAAAAACAAACAAACCAACAAAAAAACTATAAGGGAGAGAGGGAAAGCTTCCCCCCTTCAACCTCTGAAGGTTTGCTGAAAATGAACTAACAAAAGGCAGATTATTAGGAGAAAAGGGCATACAAATGTATTTTAATGTGCGCGGCACAAGGGAATTGCAGAAGAATGATAATCCAATAATCCAATGGGGTTCAGATACTTACATTTGTTACTTCACACAGCAAGAGGAAATGGGGGCTGCTGGGGTAAATAATTTTCAGGGGAAAGAATGGACCTAATGCTCAGACAATGGTAAGTAAATAATTCTCTTTGGGAATTGAATGGGACCAGAGGACACGCAGTGGCCTAGCACGAAGTTTGTCTGGGCTGCAGGAGTGTTATTCAATTTTCAGTCTTCCTCTGTGATAGGAGTTTTAATTTTCTCTGGTTAATGAAATTTCAGGGAAGGGATCAAAAGCGATTTTGTTCCTCTTTGGGGTTCAGTTTCTAGGTGGAGCAAGGAACTTCAGAAAACAGCTTCATTCTGTACTTTGGGAGAGACAGAGGATCAGAGAGAGAGAGAGACCAGGGTTGGGGGCAGTGGGGGGAGATCAGAGAAAGGCCTTGGTTCTGAGGCTAATTTCTGAGGCCTTTCAATTTTCAAAGTACTCAGAATGCCAAAGTGCCATATTGTGGGGTATCATATTCTGTACCCCAACAAGATCATGTTATAATATTTAGTCTTTCTCAAGCTAAGCTGCCCTAGAACCAGTTTATTCCTTTGAGAACATCTTGTGGGTGTGGGTACAAAGCACGTGCTCTCAGAAATGCAGCCAGAGAGAACCTATGCCCTTCCCATGAAGGTGAAGGGGTCTGGGCCTCTGCAGCCTTTTCATTGTTGTAATCCTCAGAATGCTTTATTAGAATCTGACAGTTGCTTTATGTTTTATTTCTCACAGTTTTGGAGGCGGGGAAGTCCAAGATCAAGCCAGTAACATATACAGTGTCTGGGGAGAGCCTGCTTCTTGGTTCAAGGGCTGGCCGTCTTCTCACCGTGTCCTCACATGGTGGAAGAGACAAGAGAACTCTCTGGAGTCTCTTCTATAAAGGCACTAATCCCATTCAGGAGGGCTGTGATCTCATGATCTAATCATCTTCTGATATGGTTTGGATCTGTGTCCTTGCCCACGTCTCATGTTGAATTGTAATTCCCAATGTTGGAGGTGGGGCCTGTTGGAAGGTGACTGGATCATGGGGGCAGAATTCTCATGACGGTTTTATACCATTCCTGTTGGTGCTGTTCTCATGATAGTGAGCGAGTTCTCATGAAATATGGTTGTTTAAAAGTGGGTAGCATCCCCTCAGCCTCTTGCTCCTGCTGCCACCATATAAGATGGGCCTGCTTCCCCTTTGCCTTCCACCATGATTGTAAGTTTCCTGAGGCCTCCCTAGAAGCAGAAGTTGCTATGTTTCCTTTAGAACCTGCAGAATTGTGAGCGAATTAAACCTCTTTTCTTTATAAATTACCCAGTCTCAGGTATTTCTTTATAGCAATGCAAGAATGGACTAATACACTTCCCAAAGGCCCCCCCCTTCCTAATGCCATCTCCTTCGGGGTTAGGTTTTCAATGTATGAATTTTGGAGGGACACAAACATTCAGAACATAGCCAGCTCTCATAACATAAACAAAGTCCTTTTTGTGTCACTTTTTTTTTGTTGTTGTTGTTGCACTGTTGTGCTTTTTGTTGGTGATTTTACTGTATAAAATGGCTCCAAGCAGAGTGCTGGGTGCTGTTCAGTGTTCCTAGGCACAAAAAGGCTGTGTGACGTAACTTCCAGGGAAAATATGGGTGTTAGATAAGCTTTGTTTATGCATGAGCTACAGTGCTACTAACCATGAGTTCAATGTTGATAAATCAACAATGTATGTTAAATAAGAAATAAAGTGTCTTTATACAGAAACACACAAAAAAACAAGGTTATATAGTGATTAGTTGATAAAAACTTGACCGGGTCTTGCAGGAACCTATAACTCTGTGTTTCCCCTAAGAGAAGTATTTGCTAATTCAGTGTTTGTGGTGACTTTATAGAACATAACTACCATGAATTGTGAGAATCAACTGTACTTGTTTTTGAAAATTAAACACAAATCCTTTCTGATACTGTTTGATCTAAAATATTTACTTATTTGTGCCTTGTTTCTGAACCTTTCCAACCAGAATAGCAATACCTGTCCAATAAGCTTACAGGAAAATGTATGTGAAAGTTCTGTCTAAAAGTTTAAAGGCTATATAAATCCAGGCCTTACAATGTTTATTTTAATCACATGGGCCAAATAAATGATTGAACGTGACTATTATTTTACTTTCTGCTTTGTTAGCCCACGTGGTTGAGAACTGTTTGATATGAAGAATTTTATGGGGTCAGTTCATAAGATGAATAAAGGAAATGACATTTCCAATATGCGTTAAAAACCAAAGTCCACGTGTACACAGATGACTAATTTAGAGAGCTCTGTTATGGCTCAGTTAGTGTAGTTGGAGTGGAATGACATTGACTTTTAAAATAAATTTTTTCTTGGTTTGTAGAAATAATAATGAAACCACTGTTGCAAAATTATAACTGAGAAAATTATCACAGTGAAAGAGATCTGACCCAACCAACTCCATCTTGCTTTTAACCTCCAAGCTGCCCTTGCTCATTCCTGGGCATAGGCCAAACTTTGCAAAGAACTTAGTTTATAGTTTAACTTTGAAACAAAGACACTAACAGCCCTTTCCCAAAACAGATCCCCTTTCTGCCTAAGTACTAGACTGCTTTTGTAGGACTAATAAGTTAGCCACAAGGTTAGAAATTATGATTTAGGAGTCACAGAGCTGGAGGCTACAAGATTCTGACCCTCCCCGAATTGCTCTTGGGGATAACATCACTATTATAAAACCTAAGATCAGTGTTTGAGATATTTTGCAGACCCTGCAGATCCTTGATGGATCAGCTGCCACCACCCAGATTAATAAACTGGCGCATCTGGTCTCGTGGTCCCCACCCAGGAACTGACTCAGCGCGAGAGAACAACTTTGACTCCCTATTATTTCACCTCCAGCCCTATCAATCAGCACTCCTGAATCACTGGCCCCTACCTACTAAATTGTCCTTAAAAACTCTGATCACTTCATTTTCAGGGAAACTGATTTGAGTGATAGTAAAACTCCAGTCTCCTGTACAGCTGTTTCTGCGTGAATTAAACTCTTTCTCTATTGCAATCCCCTGTCTTGATAAATTGTCTGTGTCTAGGCAGCGAGCAAGAAGAACCTGTTGGATGGTTACAATAATTGCTTTTTATAGAACATCAATAGGATAATACTTGTATCAGGGAGATTGGTAAGTCAAGATTCATATCTTTTTAGTCCTCAAAATCCTTAAATGTTTATTGGCATCCACAGGATGGAGAGAAAGAAAATGCATATGCAGTAAGGAGAGAACAGGTCTCTTTTGATGTGTTTCTGATACTTATTAAACCTTAAGAGAGAACAGAGCCTAGGGAGCCCTTTTCAATAGATCAAACCCTGTTGGCCGAGATCGCGCCACTGCACTCCAGCCTGGGCGACAGAGCGAGACTCTGTCTCACAAAAAAAAACCAAAACCCTTCTAACACCACAGCAGACTCTGCTCGAGCCTCCCCAGGTGCTCTCCGGGGCTCCGGCTGTTTATCTCAATGCAGGCTGGAGGCCAATGTCATGAGTCCCCAAAAGGACGGTGGCAGCACGGTCCTCAGCGTGGCGTCTGTCGTTGCTCAGGCTTCTGGTTCAGGGTGGGGCAGTGGTGCCCCTGTGGCAGGCAGCCCACACCAGGCACTGCTGCAGCATGGGGTCGAGGGCTCGCAGCCCTCGAGGCCCAGGCCTACAGCCTCCACCCAGCTCATGGTCAGGCCGCCCTCCCTGCAGCCAGCAGCCGGGCCACCTGATTCAGCATGGGCAGGAGTGCCAAGGTGACACCGGGGGCGGTGTGCTCCTCCTCGAGCCGCATGGGGTCCAGCAGCCAGGTGGGCACGGACCCTGGCGTGAGGCCCAGGCCGCAGCTCACCACCAAGTCATTCATCTCCATGCCTGCATAGGCCAGGGCAAGCTTGGCGGTGTTGAGCTCAGTGGCCAGGGCTGAGCCGCCATCTTCCAGCAGCAGCTCCGAGGCCTCAAGCTGCACATGCGGGTAGCGATCCAGGCACATGGCCGGCTCCAGCGCCTCCTGTAGCACCATCGCCGGCTCAGGCTCCTCGCCGCCACCCGTGGGAGCGTGGCGGAAGTCACAGAGCAGGCCTGGCCGAGATCTTCAGAGGTGACAACGTGCTGGCGGCCCTCGCTCGCTCTCGGCACCTTCTCAGCCTGGGCGTCCGCTCTGGCCACGCTTGAGGAGCCCTTCAGCCTGCTGCTGCACTGTGGGAGCCCCTCTCTGGGTTGGCCAAGGCTGGAGCCGGCTCCCTCTGCTTGCGAGGAGGTGCGGAGGGAGAGGTGCGGGCAGGAACTGGGGCTGTGTGTAGCGCTGGTGGGCCAGCGTGAGTTCCGGGTGGTCGTGGGCTCGGCAGGCCCCACACTCGGAGCCGCCAGCGGGCACCACTGCCCCAGTAGTGAGGGGCTTAGCACCCAGGTCAGCAGCTGCAGAGGGTGCGCTGGGTCCCCCAGCACTGCTGGCTGGCGCTGCGCTCGAATTCTTGCCAGGCCTCAGCCACCTCCCCGTGGGGCAGGGCTCAGGACCTGCAGCATGCCATGCCTGAGACCCCCACCCCACCCCACCCCACCCTGTGGGCTGCCACATGGCCCGAGTCTCCCCCAGGTGCTGCCCCCTGCTCTAGGCGCCTGGTCCAATCGACTGCCCAAGAGCTGAAGAGTGCGGGTGGGCAGCATGGGGACTGGCGGGCAGCTCCGCCTGTAGTCCAGGCATGGCATCCACTAGGCGGAAGCCAGCTGGGCTCCAGAGTTGGGTGGGGACTTGGAGAACTTTTATGTCTAGCTAAAGGATTGTAAATGCACCAATCAGCGCTCTGTGTCTAGCTCAAAGTTTGTAAACGCACCAATCGGCACTCTGTGTTTAGCTCAAGGTTTGTAAATGCACCAGTCAGCACCCTGTGTCTAGCTCAAGGTTTGTAAATGCACCAATCAGTGCTCTGTGTCTAGCTCATCTAGTGGCGACTTGGAGAACTTTTGTGTCTAGCTAAAGGATTGTAAATGCACCAATCAGTGCTCTGTGTCTAGCTCAAGGTTTGTAAACCAATCAGTGCTCTGTGTCTAGCTAATCTATTTGGGGACTTGGAGAACTTTTGTGTCTAGCTAAAGGATTGTAAATGCACCAATCAGTGCTCTGTGTCTAGCTCAAGGTTTGTAAACCAATCAGTGCTCTGTGTCTAGCTAATCTATTTGGGGACTTGGACAACTTGTTTCTAGCTAAAGGTTTGTAGAACCAATCAGCACCTGTCAAAACGGACCAATCAACTCTCTGTAACATGGACCAATCAGCAGGATGTGGGTGGGGCCAGATAAGGGAATAAAAGCAGGTTGCCTGAGCCAGCAGCCGCAATCTGCTTTGGTCCCATTCCACCCTGTGGAGGCTTTGTTCTTCCGCTCTTTGCAGTAAACCTTGCTGCTGCTTACTCTTTGGGTTCGCACCGCCTTAAGAGCTGTAACATCACGAAGGTCTGCAGCTTCACTCCTGAGGCCAGCGAGACCACGAACCCACTGGGAGGAACGAACAACTCCCAACAGGAGGAATGAATAACTCCGGATGGGAAGAACGAACAGTTCTGGACGGGAGGAACAAACAACTCTAGACGCGCCACCTTAAGAGCTGTGACACTCACTGTGAAGGTCTGCAGCTTCACTCCTGAAGCCAGTGAGACCATGAACTCACCAGAAGGAAGAAACTCCAAACACATACGAACATCAGAAGGAACAAACTCCGGACACACCATCTTTAAGAACCATAACACTCACCGGGAGGGTCTGTGGCTTCGTTCTTGAAGTCAGTGAGACCAAGAACCCACCAATTTTGGACACAATCTGATGGTCTTACAAAGGTTTCCCCTCTTGTTTGGCTCTCATTTTCTCTTGTCTGCCCCCATGTAAGATGTGCCTTTTGCCTTCCACCATGATTGTGAGGCCTCCCCAGCCATGTGGAACTGTGAGTCCATTAAACCTCTTTTTCTTTATAAATTACCCAGTCTTGGGTATGTCTTTATCAGCAGTGTGAAAATGGACTAATACACCAGTTCAAGGGAAGAGTGGGAAGGCAGATACAGTCATAGATTAGGAATATTAAAGTTAGTGTGTAAAGGGAAGCAAAGTGGGTAAAGGGAAGTCAGTTGAACCTCCAGGAGCAGGACGAAATTGTCTATAGACCACAGTTTGTTGTGCTTGCTGTTATCTAGAGTTGTACAATACCTTCCAGGGATTTGGACTCAAATAACCTGGAGTGGAGGGATTTCCTCTACAGTCTACAATGCAGTTCTCCATAGTATCGTTTCCATAAGCCTCAATCCTATTTCTCCGACCCCTCTGTGCTTCTGGCTGGGTCCCAAGGGCATTGCTAGGACCACCCAGCACCTGGGCCTTCGGGCTGGGTCTGCCTTGCCTAAACTGTTGTCCAGAGAACCGGAGAGTCGGATGGTTTTTTATTAATCACCTTGGCCAATTCTTTCACTACATCCTCATCCCCGGAAGGGACAGAATTGGAGTCATTAATAATATATTGACTAAGGGCAGTTAGAGTGTTGAGGGAGAGGTTTGAGGTGCACTAAGGGGAGGGACTTGGAGTTGTCCAGAGCTATGCTGGTGCTGTTTCTTCTGAGAAATAATAAAAAAAAGCTGTCATTTACTGGAAATGTATTGTGTGCCAGGAATTTTAGATGTCTTGAATATCAGCTGCTCCTTACTGCACACTAAATGTTGGCAATATTATTCTAGGTCTCACCGATAAGGAAACAGCCTTGTACCTTGCCCGACAATGAACAGCTGCCAAAGGGCAGAGTTAAAACTCAGCCTGACTCAAAAACTTGCCTTTTGGCCAAATCAACATTTTCCCAAGTATAAACTGAGGAGTCTGGGCATCTCTGATGCCCCAAAATACTTGCTCCGGCCAGGCCCGGTGGCTCACGCCTTTAATCCTAGCACTTTGGGAGGCCGAGGCGGGCGGATCACTTGAGGTCAGGAGTTCAAGACCAGCCTGGCCAACATGGTGAAACCCCATCTCTACTAAAAATACAAAAAAATTTAGCCAGGCATGGTCATGGGTGACTGTAATCCCAGCTACTCGGGAGGCTGAGGCAGGAGAATCACTTGAACCAGGGAGGCGGAGGTTGCAGTGAGCCGAGATCGTGTCCAGCCTGGGCAACAAGAGTAAAACTCTGCCTTAAAGAAAAAAAAAAAAAAAAAACCTCGCTCCATGGTCAAATAAATTTGGGAAACACTGCGTTCAGATATGCAAACATGTGTCTTCACTGAGTGACTTCTCAGTCTTTTAACACAGTAATGGTTCTGTCCCCTCCTTCCGCCTGCAGATATATGATGTTGAAGAATTTTTCTCTCTCTCTTTGGCAGGGGCTGTTCTGCTTGCTGGATTGGAAATGATTTTAGCCCCTCATGCCAGGAAGAAAACATAGGCAGATTTCTCACCAGCTAAAAAGGAAGGAAAAATTGTGAAGTGAAATTTTCTACTGGCTGTGGTTTATCCATGTTAAATTGTAAAGCATATAACACAGATGGAATCCGGCACATGCAAAACACTCACAAAACCTAGTTACTACTACTGCTGGCGCTGCGGCTACACGACTACAACTACTACTACAGCCACTACTCTCCTCCTACTGCTACTGCTGCTGCTGCTAGTGTTTCGTAAAGTGGAGCTACAGAAATCAACATTTTTTTTCTTAGCTGCACAGTGAATTCGTTTTTTGGACTCCAGTATTCTTCCTGAAGGTCTGTTTCATCCTAGTATGACTCTCACTTTTTTTTCAAAATTTTATTTTATTTTATTTTTGAAATGGAGCCTCACTCTGTTGCCCAGGCTGGAGTGCAGTGGCGTGATCTCGGCTCACTACAACCTCCGCCTCTGGGTTCAAGAGATTCTCCTGCCTCGGCCTACTGAGTAGCTGGGATTACAGGCACGCGCCACCACGCCCAGCTAATTTTTGTATTTTCAGAAGAGATGGGGTTTCACCATGTTGGCCAGGAGGGTCTCAATCTCCTGACCTCATGATCCGCCTGCCTCGGCTTCCCAAAGTGCTGGGATTGCAGGCGTGAGCCACCATGCCTCTACATTTTAATTTTTTAAAACTTACCATCTTTATCATTTTTAAGTGTACAGTTAAGTGGTAATAAATACATATGTATCTCCTATCTCATTTCCTTATTTTCATCCCCCATCCCATTTCTGGACTCTGGCTAATAGCAGTCTACTCGGTATCATCACGAGATCCACGTTTTTAGTTTCCACATATGAATGAGAACATGCGATATTTGTCTTTCTGTGCTTGGCTTATTTCACTTAACATAATGGCCTCTGGTTCCATCCATGCTGCTGCAAGTGACAGGATTTCACTCTTTTTATAGCTGAATAATATTCCATTGTGTAAATATAACACATTTCCTTTATTCATCTGTTGATGGGTACTTACGTTGATTCTATATTTTGAATAGTGCTGCAGTAAACATGGGAGGGAGATATCTCTTTAATATACTGATTTCCTTTCTTTTGAGTATATACCCAGCAGTGAAATTGCTAGACCAAATGGTAGTTCTATTTTTAGTTTTTTTGCAGAACCTCCATACTGTTCTAATTTACATTCCCACCAACAGCGTATGAGGATTCCCCTTTCTCCACATCTTCGCCAGATCTGTTATCGCCTGCCTTTATTTACTTATTTTTATTTTTAATTCTTGTGGGTACGTAGTAGGTATATATGGGATACATTAGCTGTTTTGATATAGACATGCAATCTGTAATAATCATATCATGGAAAATGGGGTATCCGTCCCCTCAAGCATTTATTCTTTGTGTTACCAACAATTCAATTATACTCTTTCAGTTATTTTGAAATGTATAATTAAATTATTATTGATGTAGTCTCCCTGTTGTGCCGTCATTAATTCTAAGACTTATTCATTAATTCTATTTTTTGTACCCATTGCCTGCCTTTTTGATACAAGCCATTTTAACTGGGGTGCAATGATATCTCATTGTGGTTTTGATTTGCACTTCTCTGATGATTAGTGATATTGAGCATTTTTTCTTATACCTGTTAGCCATGTGTATGTCTGTTTTTGAGAAATGTCTGTTCAAATCTTTTGCCCACTTTTTAAATCAGATTATTTTTATTTTTTGCTATTGAGTTGTTTAAGCTCCTTATATGTTCTGGTTATTAATCCCTTGTCAGATGGACAGTTTGCAAATATTTTCTCCCATCGTGTGGGTTTTCACTTTGTTGGTTGTTTCCTTTGCTGTGGAGAAGCCTTTTAGCTTGAGGAAGATATTTTTTCAGATGCAACCGCTTCACAGCAGCCCCAAGGAGAGTAGGATTCTTCTCTGCCCTCCCCGTCCTGGGTACAAAGCCCAGGGTTCTCCCCACAGTTTCACTGGAGTTAGGGAGAGCCAGGGAGTCTTGCGGGAGGAGGTACATGCATTTAGTGATTAAAAACAGTTTACACTGAAAACACGTAGGACTTAAAAAGTCTAGTTTCTTCCTTTTCTGTGATTCTTTGGTGACAAAATAAATGGCAGTCACTGCCATGTTGGAAAACTTGGGAGAAACCAGGAGACCAGAAGCTGATTTGTTGTATTTTAGTTTCTCCAAGATGTTGATTTCATTTTTGTTAAAATATCTAAAGTGTTTATATGAAAACCTGTTTCTTGCTAGTTCTTGGTTTACATTCATTTTAACCAGTCAGGGTTTGTTTGTTTTGTTGATCAGAGGTCAGAGTGCTGGCACCCCTTGCAAGGAGCCCTCCCACGGAGTATCTGAAGGGTGGGGTCTTGAGCCAGGTGGGGTCTGGAGCCAGCGTTGAATGCTGAGGCTCCTTGTCGGCCCAGGACTGGGGCCCGGCAGAGCCTGTGGCTGAAGGACAAGAGAGGGAGAGAGTTCCCTAAGCCAATGAACTTGTTCCTCAAGTGCTTATCCTCAGCTCCAGGACAGATGGGGGGATTCCTGCTAGATTGGTGGGCTCCACAGGGGCCAGGACCTCTGGGTGATGTTGAAGAGGAGGTTTGGGGCAGTAGGGGGAAGAGAAAGAATATGTAGGAGGGGCTCATGGGGAAGCATCTTTGGGTCCTTCTCTCCCATGTGGGCACATTGCCAGAAAAGAGGGTCCCCATCCAGACCCCAAGAGAGGGTTCTTGAATCTCTCACAGGAAAGAATTAGAGGTGAGTCACAGAGCACAGTGAAAGAAGCAAGTTTATTAGAAACTACTCCAAGTTTATTAGAAACTACAGAGTGGGGTGCCCTCAGAAAGCAGGAGGAGGAATGCTCGATCCTTTGTTAGTGCCTCTACTCATAAAAATCTGTAGCCGGGCACGGTGGCTCACGCCTGTAATCCCAGCACTTTGGGAGGCCGAGCCGGGTGGATCACCTGAGGTCAGGAGTTCGAGACCAGCCTGGCCAACATGGTGAAACCCTGTCCCTACTAAAAATGCAAAAATTAGCCAGGCATGGTGGCAGGACCCTGTAATCCCAGCTACTCGGGAGGCTGAGGTGGGAGAACTGCTTGAACCTGGGAGATGGAGGCTGTAGTGAGCTGAGATCTCGCCACAGCACTCCAGCCTGGGCAACAGAGCGAGACCTCATCTCTTAAAAAAAACTGTAAGGAGCTATAATTAAACTTGGAATGTGCAGATGTTCTCACTAAAGGTAGGGGTTATTGGTGCTATTAAAGACCATTAATCTTTTAATCTAAGCCTGTTCATTAAGGTTATCTTTAAGTAAAGTGGGCTTCACTCTTAGGGCATCTGGACATCCTGCAGGCTTGGTAGGAGGTGTTCTGTATGGCCATAAATATTCTGTAATTATAATTGGTGGTCAGCTTGGGATGTAGCTATTTTCAGACCATAAGCATTAACCTTATAGGTGCCTTGTGAGTGCCCAGCTATGCACTTTAAGATGTAGTCACTTGGGAGGCCGAGGTGGGCAGATCACTTGAAGCCAGGAGTTTAAGACCAGCCTGGCCAACATGGAGAAACCCCGTTTCTCCTAAAAATACAAAAACTAGCCAGGCACGGTGGCACATGCCTGTGATCCCAGCTAGTGGAAGACTGAGGCATGAGAATCGCTTGAACCTGGGAGGTGGAAGTTGCAGTGAGTCAAGATTGCACCACTGCACTTCAGCCTGGGTGACAGAGTAAGACTCTGTCTCAAAAAAAAAAAAAAAAAAAAAAAAGAGAGAGAAAAAAAGATGTAGTCACTTTAGTCATGATTTATTAAACCAGAAGTTCCTCTCTCTAACAGGTGCTGCTTCTTTTTAAAAACAAATTTTATATTTCTTTTAGAGATGGTATCTTGCTGTATTGTCCAGGCTGGAGGGCCGTGGCTGTTAACAGGTGAAATTCCACTACTGATTAGCCCAGGAATTTTTAATCTGCTCTGTTTCCAACCTGGGTCAGTTCACCCCTCCTTAGGCAACCTGGCAGTCCCCACTCTGGGGAGGTCACCACATTGATGCCAAACTTAGTGCAGACACCTCATCATAGAGCACTATAGCCCAGAACTCCTGGGCTCAAGTGGTTCTCCTGAGATGGACAGGAGGCAGGGAAATACTGGGTAGAAGAGGGCAGTTCCCTGGCAAAAGCCCCACCCTCAAGCCTGGAAACCTGTGACCCTAAATGGGAACAGGCATTCCTGTTTTCACACCCAAATGTTGACTTTTGGCCTGCCGTACCCACCCAATCCTGTACCCATATAAACGCTAAACCCCAGGCTCCATGAGCAGAATAGCTGCTGGGTGGCAGAGCAGTAAGGCGAAGAAAGAGAAGAGAAGGAGCGTCTGAACGTCAAGAGGAGTTCAGCTGGGGATGGCCAAACTCCAGGGGAAGATCATCTTCTCACTACATCCCCTTTCCAGCTCCCCATCCATCCCACTGAGAGCCACCTCCATCAGTCAATAAAATCCCTGCATTCACCATCCTTCAAGTTCACATGACCCGATTCTTCCTGGATGCCAGACAAGGACCCGGGTACTAAGAGGACAGGGTGTAAAAAGCTGTCTGACTCTCCACTAAACTGGTTAACGCTTAGCTGTCTGGGGATGGCAACTGCTAAAAGGGTATTCATTCTAACACTTCCCTAGAGGCTACTGATACTGAAGTGCTGGGAAGGAAAGAGCATGGTCCTTTTAAATGATATGGAAGTGGGGAATGGAAGGGCTGGGTAGAGGAGGGCATGGTGCCTGGCTAGGACTCTACCCCCACAGACCTAGGTGAGGACAGGCACATCTGTCTTTGTGCCCAAATGTTGCATTTTCCAAGACCACTCTGGCCTGCCACACCCCCATCCTGTGCCTATAAAAACCCCTGAAACCCTAGCAGTCAGATACACAAGTGGCTGGACATTGTGAGGAACACATTGGTGGAAAAAGACACAGGTGGCTGGACGTTGAGAGGACATCGAGGGGAGCACTCTGGCGGAAGAGCACACCAACAGATGCCAGCATGCCGCAGGCCATTGACCAGCAGAATGACACAGAGTTTGGCTGGGGCAGTCAGAGGAGAGCCCAGGTCCCTGAGCTGCCTGACTCCAGGAAAAAGCCATCTCCCTTCTGGCTCCCCCATCTGCTGAGAGCTACTTGTACTCAATAAAACCTTGAACTCATTCTCCAAGCCCACATGCGATCCAGTTCTTCCAGTACACCAAGGTAAGAAACTCCGGGATACAGAAATCCCTCTGTCCTTGTGATAAGGAAGAGAGTCTAATTGAGCTAACACAAGCCACCTGCAGATGGCTAAATTAAAAAAGCGCCCTGTAACACATGCCCACTGGGGCTTTAGGAGCTATAAACACTCACCCCTACACACTGCCATGAGGTTGCAGCCCCACAACCTGCCCGTCTGTATGCTCCCCTAGAGGTTTGAGCAGTGGGGCACTGAAGAAGCAAGCCACTCCCCTGTCACACGCCCTGTGAGGGGGACAAGGGAACTTTTCCTGTTTCACTACTATGCGGCTGGAGCCCAAAAGCACTCATCCCAGCTCCTGCACCTGTCTGTCTGCATGTTTCCCCCTCTTGTAAGGGGTTTGAGTACATGGTGGCCAAGCAAACAGGCCACACCCTTGTTGCAAGTCCCGCGAGAGGTTCAGAGAACTCTCCCGTTTCACTCCTGCCTCAGGCCTCAGCCACCACAGTAAGTGGAACTCTATACCTCCACCTCGCCTGGCTGGGTGGAGCCTCTAAACTCAGGATTCTGCCTTGAGCTGTGGCTCTCCCCTCAGGTTGACAGGGTCCAGAGCAAAACCTACGGAAGAAGCTGCAGAGGCCAGGTGGAGGGAAGGATGCTGAACTGGAGGAGGCCAGGAAATTATGAGGTGGGTGAGTTGGCATCATCTTCAGGTTGGTCTGTGTGGGCCACTGAGCCCAGAGTTTTCATGCTTGCCCCCTGAAATCCTAATTTTATCTTAGAGCATGTGTTTTGCAAGGAAGGTCCAATGGGCAGTGGAGCATGCCTGGGGCTTGGAGTCTCTGTTCCTGCACTGTCTGCCTCCCAGGGCCTCTCAAGGACTGTTCCTAGCTGCCTCCTGTGCCTGAGTCTGACCCAGCTCCCCCTGGCCACCTGCCCTGGGATCCTGGCTGTCCTCAGCCTGAGTCTGCGACAGGATATGTGGTAGAGGCGTGATGTCTGTGTTTCTGTGTTTTGCCTTCGCTCTCTGCCCCATGGGGGACTGAGTGCAGGAGTGGAAACAGTGGAGCCAGGTGTGCTGGGTGTGGCATCTCCGGGTGAGGGTAGGTGATGGCCACCCCCTCCCCATGCTGGCTCTTCCTGGTGTGCTTGCAGGAACCTGGTGAGGGTTCTTGCTCATCCCCTCATCTAAGTGCCAAGTGCATGGGTGCAGAGGTTGCAGTCCCTTTGGTTCTCTGTCCGTGTGGGTTTGGGAGGCAGGCCCTGGGAAGGGGAGATCGACTTCCCCGTTCTTGTCAGTCACTTGTTTATTTTGGACTGGGCTCTGCAAGTTCTACCCAGGCCTGGTTAGCATCAAGGAAGACTGGTAGCTGGGGCTCCAGTGGAGGAGCAAGCAGGGCTGTGGGAGATGGGAAGTTTGGAAAAGGCGAAAGGCAGAGCCCAGAAGGGCTGGGCCTTCCTGGTCCGGGGCTGCAGGTGCTGGGGAAGTGAAGATCCTGCACAGGTGGTCACGATGAGGAAAAGCCAATAAGCAAAGGGCCAGGCAGGCTTAGAGAACACTGACAGAGGGCTCAGTGATTAGAGGGTTGCTTTCAGGGCTCTGCTGAAAGGCTGAGAAGCAGCGGGCATCCGGGGAGAATGGATCAGGTGAGAGGAGTTGACTGAGTGGGTCCACAGTGGGGATCAGGACGTGGTGAGGACATCCCCTTCACCTTGAAGTTACGGCTCCTGCAGAGGGAGGGAGGGAGGCAGAGAGGGTGCCTGGGGCTGGAGATGTCAGGCTGAGCATTCTGCATGGAACTTTGGTGGGACATTCTTCGGTGCCATCCAGTTCCCCTCCCCTTGTGCTGGCTGGTCACTGTGAAAGCTAAGCGAATTCCGTTCCCCAAGAAGAGGACATAATTCTTGTGAATCCTAAAGGTGGTAAGAACAGGAAATATGATTACATTTTTTAAAGTTTGGATTAATTTATGAAGGACTTGAAACTGACCCAGTAGTTCTACACATTTATTTACTTATTTAACATAGAAATTGACCCTCTTGGTCTTAAAGCCTGAAACTTAATATTTATCTGAGGTCTTTCCTCAGGAAAGGACCCCCAGGCCTCTGAAAAAGTATCAGAGAACTGAAACTCACCAGATCTTTGCATGCAGTAAGACTCCAGGCCTCTCATTCATCATGATTGCTTCTTTACTGAGTTCCTGTTTTCTCATACATTGTTACATTTCTTCCCTGCTACGGAAGAAACCTATGGAAGGAGCTGCTGAGGCCAGGTGGAGGGAAGGATGCTGGGCTGGAGGAGGCCAGGAAATTATGTACGTTGTTACATTTCTTCCCTGCTATATAAACTCCTAATTTTAGTGGTCAGAGAGATTGATCTCTCATTTCCTCAGCTGTAGCACCTGATTATCGCCTTCTTCCTTGGCAAGAATGGTCATCTCAGTGATTGGCTTTCTGTGCAGGGAACAGCAGGACCTAGACGGAACCCCTGGTGTTTTGGTGATAGACTTAAGAGCATAGGGTCCCAAAGAGTGCCAGTGATACACCTGAGGTGTCAACCTCACCCCTTTTTAGAGTTGGTGGCATGGAGGACAGCCGGTTGGTTTCTACAGGGCCCTGTCCCTCAGAGCTTCTGTTCGTGACTGTGTCTAGAGATGGCCAATGCAGCAATCCACGTGTTTCCGAGTCACTTTGTCGCATGACCCAATGGCTGCTATTTGCTCCTCCTCCTCAATCGTCGCAGAATAATAGTTGTCTTCTTGAGAAGATTAAGTGAATATTTTCTCCCAACCCAATTGCATAATGCAGCACAGATGTCAAGGCAAATAACTTTGATTCAGAACAAGTTCAGCTATCTGCTTTGCTCTGTCTGCTGGTTTCATGTTTTCAAGATGATTCACATTAACTCATCTTTCTTTCCCATATGTCCAGACTTGTGTTTTACAACACCAGACGGGGATACTAATTAAACTTTACAGTTCGCTGCAGCGTGCGTAAACTGAGATTGGTAATGACAGGCCTGGCAGTAATCAATATATCTGCTGCACTTGTAATGATTTAACGCGAGTGCCATGGTTACTGCTTGGAATAAAAGTGAATAAGCTCTACTGTAAATTTAATTTAGGGGAGTTATAACTTGATCACTCAGAAATATATTCTAGCAGCTCCTTGTATTTTTGACAAAGCCCAGGGCGTGCTTCTAGCAAGATCTGTGATTTAACCAGGAACATTTAATTTACAATGAGGTATATAATAGGTGACATCTGCCCCCTGGCCCAGCTTCAGAAAAACCAGCAGAAGGCTGTGGACAGCCATACAGAAGTCAGAAGTAATAAACTAGATATATACAGCAATTTTAAATCTCATATCAACCCTAGTTAAAAAAATTATTTCACATTTATTGTAAGTTATTCCATCCATGAATTAGAAGTCAAACTCTAGCAAAGTCACGTTCAGGCCAGTTCAGAGTAGAGATAGCTTCTCTGAAACTGCATTCAGGGGTAGTGAGGTGTCATTTCTGCTCCACATCCTTGAAAAGGGTTTGGTGTGTGTTACTTTGCAGAATGGGAGGGAAAGCCTCTGACCTTTGTCCTTTAATTTCCTTCAGTTCTGTAATATGAGGAACATTATTGCATTTAAACGAACAGAAATGCTGTACTGCAAGCTCTCCTTTCACATTGTCTTTGCCCACTTACTAATATTGATTGATTGATTGACTGTATTAGCTGTTACATTTCCTGCCATACAGCCATGCCTCTACCCTTTGCATTCCTGATTTAGTTGTGCTACCTGCAACCAGCCTCTTGTATTCTCTCTTGTGCTCTCTCTTTCTCTCTCTCTCAGTTCCCCTAAGGGGCTAGGAGTTGAGTTGATGATACTTTTCAGAATATGGCATTTTATCAATAGGCTATGCAAGGTCTCTCTTGCTTTATTTTATTTATATCTCAACCCCACTCCCATTCCTTCTCCCCTCTAGATAATGACTATATTTTATTTTATATATAACATATTTCAGAAGGATATGTACATATACATATCCTAAATTTTTCAGGTATCTATAGTTCTGTGTACGTTTTTAACTTTTAATAATTTACATTATTTTATGACTTTTTGTTTCTTGGTTTATTCACTTTGTACTGTATTTTTAAGATAGAAGATTTAATATTGCTGTGTATGTATCTACTTTATTATAATGGCTTCTGACCTCTGTATGATTTTGCATAGCACGTGTCTACCTTATTTTACATAAACCTTGGGTGTCTACAACTCCCGGTTATCACTGACAGTCCTATGTGTGTCTCATACCTTTCCCCTTATGGACCTTTGCAGGAACTTCTCTGGGGAATTACCCTAGGGTTGGGTTTCTGTTCATTAAAAAAGATTGTTTTAAAGCTATAATTTATGGAGCGCTTACTATGTCAGGCACTGTTCTAAGCACTTTATAGGTATTGACTAATTTAATCTTTACAATAACCCGACGTGGTAAGTTACATCATTATCCCCATTTTGCAGAAAAAATAAAGCCAAAAAAGATCAAGAAGCTAGTAAGTGGTAGTGCAGAGTTTCAAAAACTGTGATGCTGGCTAGATGTGGTGGCTCATGCCTGTAACTCCATCACTTTGGGAGGCCGAGGTGGGTGGATCACCCGAGTTCAGGAGTTCAAGACCAGCCTAACCAATATGGTGAAACCCCGTCTCTATTAAAAATACAAAAATTAGCTGGGCGTGCTGGCGGTTGCCTGTAATCCCAGCTACTTGGGAGGCTGAGGCAGGAGGATGGCTTGAACCCGGGAGGTGGAGGTTGCAGTGAGCCGAGATTGCACCACTGCACTCCAGCCTGGGTGACAGAGCGAGACTCTGTCTCAAAAAAAAAAAAAAAAAAAAAAAAAACTGTGATGCTGTACTTACATTCAAATCACTGCTACACTCACCACCGAGGTGAGCAGCCTCGAACATGACTTTTACCCAGCAGTGGGTTCATTAAGTTGCAACATATGTATGCATGTGTGTGTGTGTGTATGCGGGTGTGTTTATGTGTGCATATGTGTCTCTCTCTATAAAATTCTACTTACTACTGCCGCATGAATTTCCTCAATGGTTATACCCCATTTACTTTCCCTCCCAAAGAGCAACAGGGAGTTCACTATCCCCACATTCTCCACCAACACTTATCATAGACTGTACAATAATTATTCAGCTGTGCACATTTTGTATCTTTTGAGTTTCTTTCAGCTATAGTTTTTAGTGTTTTATCTGATTGTTCTTTACAACTGCTGTTTCTTGCTTTGTTGAATATTTTTTCTTCTGGGACGATATTTTTAAACTTGTTTAGATTTTTGCATCTGTCCCCATAATGCCAGTTCAAGTACTGGCTGCTCAATATGTTTCATTTCTAGCAGTTATCTTTCCCAAATGCCTGGTGTTTCCTTTTCCCTCTGTGAGCTCATTTTCCCCTGGAGGTGTTAGCCATGATCCCTCAGGAGGACAGGTGCAGTTCCTGGTGAGTTCAAGGCAGGAGGAAGTCCTGCTGCAGAGCAGGGATCCTGTGGTTTGGAGTCTGGATGGATTTCCCTCACTCGTGCCCCTCAACCAAGCTGATTTTAATCAGCTCCTACACTGCCCCCCAACCTTTTTGTTTTCTTGAGACAGAGTCTCACTCTGTCGCCCAGGCTGGAGTGCAGTAGCGCGATCTTAGCTCACTGCAACCTCCGCCTCCCAGGTTCAAGTGATTCTCGTGCCCCAGCCTCCAGAGTAGCAGAGTAGCTGGGATTACAGGAGCCCACAACCATGCTCGGCTAATTTTTTGTTTGTTTGTTTTTGGTAGAGACGGGGTTTCACCAGGTTGTCCAGGCTGTTCTCAAGCTCTTTACATCAAGTGATCCATCCACCTCAGGCTCCCAAAGTGCTGGGATTACAGGCATGAGCCACCGCGCCCAGCCTACACTGCCTTTTGATTGGCCTTGGGGATTGCTGAAGAACAGAGGAGCTGGGCTTTTAACTGGAATTTTATTTTATTTTTTAACATATATATATAGTTATACATTAAGTTCTGGGGTACATGTGCAGAACGTGCAGGTTTGTTACATAGGTATACACGTGCCATGGTGGTTTGCTGCAGCCATCACCCAGTCATCTACATTAGGTATTTCTTCTAATGCTATCCCTCCCCCAGCTCCCAACCCTGAGAGGCCCCGGTGTGTGATGCCCCCCACCCCTGTGTCCATGTGTTCTCATTGTTTAACTCCCACTTACGAGTGAGAACATGTGGTGTTTGGTTTTCTGTTCCTGAGTTAGTTTGCTGAGAATGATGGTTTCCAGCTTTGTCCATGTCCCTGCAAAGAACACGAACTCATCCTTTTTTATGGCTGCATAGTATTCCATGTTGTATATGTGCCACATAGAACATGAACTCATCCTTTTTTATGGCTGCATAGTATTCCATGTTGTATATGTGCCACATAGAACATGAACTCATCCTTTTTTATGGCTGCATAGTATTCCATGTTGTATATGTGCCACATTTTCTTTATCCAGTCTATCATTGATGGGCATGTGGGTTGATTCCAAGTCTTTGCTGTTGTGAACAGTGCTGCAATAAACATGTGTGCCTGTGTCTTTATAGTAGAATGATTTATAATCCTTTAGGTATATACCCAGTAATGGGGTTGCTGGGTCAAATGGTATTTCTAGTTCTAGATCCTTGAGGAATCACCACACTGTCTTCCACAGTGGTTGAACTAATTTACACTCCCACCAACAGTGTAAGAGTCTTCCTGTTTCTCCACATCCTCTCCAGCATCTGTGGTTTCCTGACTTTTTAATGATCACCATTCTAACTGGCATGAGATGGTATCCCATCATGGTTTTTATTTACATTTCTTTGATGACCAGTGATGATGAGCTTTTCTCATATGTCTGTTGGCTGCATAAATGTCTTCTTTTGAGAAGTGTCTGTTCATATCCTTTGCCCACTTTTTTATGGCATTGTTTTTTTCTTGTAAATTTTTTTTTTTTTTTTTGAGACGGAGTCTCGCTCTATTGCCTAGGCTGGAGTGCAGTGGCATGATCTCGGCTCACTGCAAGCTCCACCTCTTGGGTTCACACCATTTTCCTGCCTCAGCCTCCAGAGTAGCTGGGACTACAGGCGCCTGCCACCATGCCTGGCTAATTTTTTGTATTTTTAGTAGAGATGGGGTTTCACTGTGTTAGCCAGGATGGTCTCGATCTCCTGACCTCATGATCCGCCCACCTCAGCCTCCCAAAGTGCTGGGATTACAGGCGTGAGCCACCTCGCCCGGCCTCTCTTTTCTTCTTTATTAGTCTGGCTAGCGGTCTATTTTGTTGATCTTTTCAAAAAACCAGCTCGTGGATTCATATTTTTTGAAGGATTTTTCGTGTCTATCTCCTTCAGTTCTGCTCTGACCTTAGTTATTTGTTGTCTTCTGCTAGCTTCTGAATTTGTTTGCTCTTGCTTCTCTAGTTCTTCTTCTTTTTTTTTTTTTTTTTTTTTTGAGACAGAGTCTTGCTCTGTTGGCCAGGCTGGAGTGCAGTGGCACAATCTCGGCTCACTGCAACCTCTGCCTCCCAGGCTCAAGCAATTCTCCTTTCTCAGACTCCTGAGTAGCTGGGATTACAGGTGTGTGCCACCACGCCTAGCTAATTTTTGTATTTTTAGTAGAGACGGGGTTTCACCATGTTGGCCAGGCTGGTCTTGAACTCCTGACCTCAGGCAATCTACCCACTTTGGCCTCCCAAAGTGCTGGGATTACAGGTGTCAGTCACCGTGCCTGGCTTTCCCTAGTTCTTTTAATTGTGATGTTAGGGTGTCGATTTTAGATCTTTCCTGCTTTCTCTTGTGACCATTTAGTGTTATACATTTCCCTCTACACACTGCTTTAAATGTGTCCCAGAGATTCTGGTACATTGTGTCTTTGTTCTCATTGGTTTCAAAGACCATCTTTATTTCTGCCTTCATTTCGTTATTTACCCAGTAGTCATTCAGGAGCAGGTTGTTCAGTTTCCATGTCATTGTGTGGTTTTGAGTCAGTTTCTTAATCCTGAGTTCTCATTTGATTGCGCTTTGGTCTGAAAGACTGTTTGTTATGAGTTCCATTCCTTTGCATTTGCTGAGGAGTGTTTTACTTCCAATTATGTGGTCAGTTTTAGAATAAGTGCGACGTGGTGCTGAGAAGAACGTGTATTCTGTTGATTTGGAGTGGAGAGTTCTGTAGATGTCTATTAGGTCTGCTTGGTCCAGAGCTGGGTTCAAGTCCTGGATATCCTTATTAATTTTCTGTCTCATTGATCTAATATTGACAGTGGGGTGCTAAAGTCTCCCAATATTACTGTGTGGGAGTCTAAGTGTTTTTGTAGGCCTCTAAGAACTTGCTTTATGAATCTGCGTGCTCCTGTATTGGGTGCATATGTATTTAGGATAGTTAGCTCTTCTTGTTTCATTGATCCCATTACCGTTATGTGTAATGCCCTTCTTCGTCTCTTTTGATCTTTGTTGGTTTAAAGTCTGTTTAAACAGAGACTAGGATTGCAAATCCTGCTTGTTTGCTTTCCATTTGCTTGGTAAATATTCCTCTATCCCTTTATTTTGAGCCTATGTTTTTCTTTGCATGAGATGGGTCTCCTGAATACAGCACACTGATGGGTCTTTTTTTTTTTTTTTTTTTTTTTGAGATGGAATTTCGCTCTGTCACCCAGGTTGGAGTGCAGTGGCGTGATCTCGGCTCACTGCAAGCTCTGCCTCCCGGGTTCATGCCATTCTCCTGCTTCAGCCTCCTGAGTAGCTGGGACTACAGGCACCTGCCACCACGCCTGGCTATTTTTTTTTGTGTGTGTGTTTTTTAGTAAAGACGGGGTTTCACCATGTTAGCCAGAATGGTCTTGATCTCCTGACCTTGTGATCCACCCTCCTTGACCTCCCAAAGTGCTGGGATTACAGGCATGAGCCACTGCACCTGGCCCACAATGGTCTTGACTCTTTATCCTATTTGCCAGTCTGTGTCTTTTAAATGGGGCATTTAGCTCATTTACATTTAAGGTTAATGTTGTTATGTGTGAATTTGATCCTGTCATTATGATGCTAGCTGGTTATTTTGCCCATTAGTTGATGCAGTTTCTTCATTGCACAGATGGTCTTTACAATTTGGTATGTTTTTGCAGTGGGTGGTACTAGTTTTCATTTCCATGTTTAGTGCTTCCTTCAGGAGCTCTTGTAAGGCAGGCCTGGTGGTGACAAAATCTCTCAGCATTTGCTTGTCTGTAAAGGATTTTATTTTTCCTTTGCTTACGAAGCTTAGTTTGACTGGATATGAAATTCTGGGTTGAAAATTCTTTTCTTTAAGAATGTTGAATATTGGCCCCCACTCTCTTCTGGCCTGTAGGGTTTCTGCTGAGAGATCCGCTGTTAGTCTGATGGTCTTCCCTTTGTGGGTAACCTAACCTTTCTCTGTAGTTGCCATTAACATTTTTTCCTTCATTTCAACTTTGGTGAAACTGATGATATGTGTCTTGGGGTTGCTCTTCTCCAGGAGTATCTTTGTGGTGGTCTCTGTATTTCCTGAATTTGAATGTTGGCCTGTCTTGCTTGGTTGGGGAAGTTGTCCTGGATAATATCCTGA
This sequence comes from Homo sapiens, assembly GCF_000001405.40. Taxonomy (NCBI): domain Eukaryota; kingdom Metazoa; phylum Chordata; class Mammalia; order Primates; family Hominidae; genus Homo; species Homo sapiens. The sequence goes on along the minus strand of NC_000007.14, from coordinate 148,427,615 downwards.
AGAGTGTTTTCCAACTTGGTTCCATTCTCCCTGTCACTTTCAGGTACACCAATCAAACATAGTGTGTCCAGAATTTGTGGGTTCTTGGTCTCACTGACTTCAAGAACGAAGCTGCGGACCCTCACGGTGAGTGTTACAGCTCTTAAGATGGTGCATCTGGAGTTTGTCCCTTCTGATGTTCAGATGTGTTCGGAGTTTCTTCCTTCTGGTGGGTTCGTGGTCTCGCTGGCTCAGGAGTGAAGCTGCAGACCTTCGCGGTGAGTGTTACAGCTCATAAAGGCAGTGTGGACCCAAAGAGTGAGCAGTAGCAAGATTTATTGCAAAGAGCGAAAGAACAAAGCTTCCACGGTGTGGAAGGGGACCCGAGCGGGTTGCCAATGCTGGCTCGGGCAGCCTGCTTTTATTCTCTTATCTGGCCCCACCCACATCCTGCTGATTGGTAGAGCCCAGTGGTCTGTTTCGACAGGGCGCTGATTGGTGCGTTTACAATCCCTGAGCTAGACACAAAGGTTCTCCACGACCCCACCAGATTAGCTAGATACAGAGTGTCCACACAAAGGCTCTCCAAGGCCCCACCAGAGTAGCTAGATACAGAGTGTCGATTGGTATATTCACAAACCCTGAGCTAGACACAGGGTGCTGATTGGTGTGTTTACAAACCTTGAGCTAGATACAGAGTGCAGTTGGTGGATTTACAATCCCTGAGCTAGACATAAAGGTTCTCCAGGTCCCCACCAGACTCAGGAGCCCAGCTGGCTTCACCCAGTGGATCCCGCACTGGGGCTGCAGGTGGAGCTGCCTGCCAGTCCCGCGCCGTGTGCCTGCACTCCTCAGCCCTTGGGTGGTCAATGGGACTGGGTGCCGTACAGCAGGGGGCAGTGCTCGTTGGGGAGGCTCGGGCTGCACAGGAGCCCACGGAGGGGGTGGGAGGCTCAGGCATGGTGGGCCGCAGGTCCTGAGCCCTGCCCCACGGGAAGGCAGCTAAGGCCCAGTGAGAAATCGAGCGCAGCGCCGGTGGGCCGGCTCTGCTGGGGGACCCAGTATACCCTCCGCAGCTGCTGGCCCGGGTGCTAAGCCCCTCATTGCCCGGGGCCGGCAGGGCCGGCTGGCTGCTCCGAGTGCGGGGCTGCCAAGCCCACGCCCACCCAGAACTCCAGCTGGCCTGCAAGCGCCGTGCGCAGCCCCGGTTCCCGCTTGCACCTCTCCCTCCACACCTCCCTGCAAGCTGAGGGAGCCGGCTCCGGCTTTGGCCAGCCCAGAAAGGGGCTCCCACAGTGCAGCGGTGGGCTGAAGGGCTCCTCAAGTGCCGCCAAAGTGGGAGCCCAGGCAGAGGAGGTGCTGAGAGCGAGCGAGGGCTGTGAGGACTGCCAGCACGCTGTCACCTCTCAGTAGGTTTGGTCTTTTCACATAGTCCCATATTTCTTGGAGGCTTTGTTCATTTCTTTTCATTCTTTTTTCTCTCATCTTGTCTTCTCGCTTAATTTTATTGAGTTGACCTTCAATCTCTGATATCCTTTCTTTTGCTTGATCGATTCGGCTTTTGATACTTGTGTATGCTTCACGAAGCTCTTGTGTTGTGTTTTTCAGCTGCATCAGGTCATTTATGTTCTTCTCTAAACTGGTTATTTTAGTTAGCAATTCGTCTAACCTTTGTTCAAGGTTCTTAGCTTCCTTGCATTGGGTTAGAACTTGCTCCTTTAGCTCGGAGGAATTTGTTGTTGCCCACCTTCTGAAGCCTACTTCTGTCAATTCGTCAAATTTATTCTCCATCCACTTTTTTTCCTTTGCTGGCGAGGAGCTGTGATCCTTTGGAGAAGAGGCGTTCTTGTTTTTTGAATTTTCAGCCTTTTTATGCTGGTTTCTCCCCATCTTTGAAGATTTATCTACCTTTCATCTTTGATGTTGGTGACCTTCGGATGGGGTCTCTTGAGTAGACATCCTTTTTGTTGATGTTGATACTATTCCTTCTGTTTGTTAGTTTTCCTTCTAGCAGTCAGGCCCCTCTACTGCAGGTCTGCTGCAGTTTGCTGGAGGTCCACTCCAGACCCTGTTTGCCTGGGTATCACCAGTGGAAGCTGCAGAACAGCAAAGACTGCTGCCTGTTCCTTCCTCTGGAAGCTTTGTCCCAGAGGGGCACCCTCCAGATGCCAGCCAGAGCACTCCTGTATGAAGTGTCTGTCGGCCCCTACTGGGAGGTGTCTCCCAGTCAGGATACATAAGTGTCAGGGACCCACTTGAGGAGGCAGCCTGTCCCTTAGCAGAGCTTGAACACTGTGCTGGGAGATCCACTGCTCTCTTTAGAGCTGTCAGTCAGGGACATTTAAGTCTGCTGAAGCTGTGCCCACAGCTGCCCTTTCCCCCGGGTGCTCTGTTCCAGGGAGATGGGGGTTTTATCTGTAAGTCCCTGACTGGGGCTGCTGCCTTTTTTTCAGAGATGCCCTGCCCAGAGAGAAGGAATTAGAGAGGCAGTCTGGCTGCAACGGACTTGCTGAGCCACAGTGGGCTCCACCCAGTTCAAACTTTACGGTGACTTTTTTTACACTGTGAGGGTAAAACTGCCTACTCAAGCTTCAGCAATGGCGGACGCCCTTCCCACCACCAAGCTTGAGCGTCCCAGGTCAACCTCAGACTGATGTGTTAGCAGCAAGAATTTCAAGCCAGTGGACCTTAGCTTGCTGGGTTCCACGGGGGTGGGACCTGCTGAGCCAGACTACTTGGCTCCTTGTCTTTAGCCCCATTTCCGGGGGAGTTAATGGTTCTGTCTCACTGGTGTTCCAGGTGCCACTGGAGTATGAAAAACAAAACAAACAAACAAAAAACTGCAACTAGCTTGGTATCTGCCCAAATGGCTGCCCAGTTTTGTGCTTAAAACCCAGGGCCCCTGGTGGCTTAGGAACCAGAGGGAATCTCCTGGTCTGCCAGTTGTGAAGATCATGGGAAAAGCACAGTATCTGGGCCAGAGTGCACCATTCCTCCCAGTATAGCCTCTTATGGCTTCCCTTGGCTGGGGGAGGGAGATCCCCCACCCCTTGTGCTTCCTGGGTGAGGCGATGCCACACCCTGCTCTGGCTCACCCTCTGTGGGCTGCACTCACTGTCCAACCAGTCCCAATGAGATGAACCAGGTACCTCAGTTGGAATTGCAGTTGGAAATGCAAAAACCACCCGTCTTCTGCTTTGATCTCACTGGGAGCTGCAGACTGGAGCTGTGCCTATTCGGTCATCTTGCCAGCAAATCCTTTTGACTTATATTTTAAGTTCAGGGGTACAAGTGCAGGTTTGTTACATGGATAAACTTGTGTCATGGAGGTTTGTTGCACAGATTATTTCATCACCCAGGTATTAAGCCTAGTACCCATTAGTTATTTTTCCTGATCCTCTCCCTCCTCCCACCCTCCACCCTCTAAAGGTACCCAGTGTGTGTTGTTCCCCTCTGTGTGTCCATATGTTCTCATCATTTAGCTCCTACTTATAAGTGAAACTGTGGTATTTGGTTTTCTGTTCCTGTTAACTGGAAGGGATGCGCCTGTCTTGTTTTCTAGTCAATTCCTAGAGTCTTGAATGGTGCCAAGCACGTAGGGGATACTCCATAAATATTTATGAAATGAATTCCATAGTCTTGATTCCCCTTTGAAATCCATATGTTAGGGTAATTATTGAAGTAATCTCAGTCATTTTGGGAAGATATATGCATGCTTGTATATATATATTTATATATAAAAAGTCTGTATTTAATTTTTTTAACCTGCAACAAATCATACTAGGTGCTCTTTGGAGTGTTTTTTTCCTTTATTTGTCCTAAATGTGCCTTCTTTCTGGCTTCAAAGGTTGCTCTTTGCCCTGAGGTCTTAGGGAGCAAGCTTGCACTTTCCCTCTCTACATCTTTCATGACTTAAAAGGTTGCCCCTGTATCCCATTTTAGCCTTCCTAGACTTAAGAATTTTATCTTGCAAATTTCAATTTGTGAATACAAAATAAGTTCATCTCTGAGTTTCACCTGTCAGGTTTTAATTTAAATCTTATAATTTTACATTTATATTTTTAAAAGAAATGACTTTCTCATGTTAGGTCAGAGAACTGAAAAAGATAAGCTATTTGTTATTTTCTTTTGGTGAAGACTTGGCATAGAGTTTAGTTCCTGTCCCCAGAGACTTATTTACTTACCATCTATCCAGAAGATGAAGTAAGATGAATGGAAAGATCATGAAAACATGATGAGAAAAGAAAACTTGCATTTTTTTGTGGCAAAACTGCTTTGAGCAGTGGTCCTTTGTAGCATGTTGGGTGTGTTTGAACAAGAGGGGGTTGCTGGTAGAACAAAATCTTCAGGTGCAGGGATTATTCAGCTCATGGTTTTCAAAGTGACCAAAAAAAGGTAAACACATGCTAATGGTTACTCACATAATACTTTCTTTAAAGAGTTAGCTTTTGTACCTGAGTTAATTTGGGAGGATATGAACCCCTTCTTGAAAAATAGCCCAGTTATTTCCTCTTTTCTATACTTTGTTGTCTGTTATGCCATGTTGTAACTGGCAAAGTGTAAAACTAGACATATTTTCTTCAATATAACTTCCTACTTGAAACCCAGGGCCCTGGTGGCATAGGCACCAGGGGCAGTCTCTTGGTCTGCCAGTTGCAAAGACCGTGAGTTTCCTATAACCTCCTCTCCTACCCGTCTCTGCTCCCCCACACCCATTAATTAAACAAATACAGTTGTCCCTCAGTATCCATGGGGAATTGGTTCCAGGACTCCCTGCAGATACCAAAATCCATGGATGCTCACGTCCCTTATATAAAATGGTACATATTTGCATATAACCTAGATACATCCTCCCATCTAATTTAAATAATCTCTAGATTACTTATAATACCTGATACAATGTAAATGCTATGTATATAGTATACAGAAGGTCCCTGATTTATGATGGTTTGGCTTATGGTTTCTTGATTTTATGATGATGTAAAAGTGATACACATTCAGTATATTTCTTGACTTGGATGGGGCTATGACCCGGATAAACCCAGGGTAAATAAAAAATATCTTAAGTGGAAAACACACTTCTGCTTACAATATTTTCAATTTATGATGTGTTTATCAGCATGTAACCAATTCCATCATAAATTGAGAATCACTTGTACTCTTTTAATTTGTATTTTTTTGCATTGTTAATTTAAACTTTTTTGACTATTTTTGATCTGAGGTCAGTTGAATCTGCATGAGGAACCCATGGATATGAAGGGCGTTTATTTGTACAAAAGAAAGTTGCTATCCTCCTGGAACATATGTATGTATACAGAGTTTATTGTTGCTGGGACAGAGAAAGGAAGTCAGCATATTGTGGCCAAAACCTTTTGTTGGCGATGTTAAACCCTCAACTTGCTGACTCATCTTTTTAAAATTTGTTAAGAACTTTCATGGTGCAGATTTTCTTTTCTCAAGGGACTTGATGACATTCTCTCTGTACCTGTTGGATCACATTCGCGAAGCATTCATGACCAATCTTTTTGACGCTTGATGCTTTCTGAACATACTGCAGTGCAATTGCTATTGATTGGCCTTGGGGATTGCTGAAGAACAGAGGACTTGGGCTTTTAACTGGAATTCACATTTATTTGGTATACGTTTAGATGCCTCACTGAGAATTGATTAAAAGGAAATGGCTTCCCAATAGTCATGGTCATTGAAGACCAGTGTGGAGGCTAAGCAACTTCATCTTGAATGTGAATCTGCTATGTTGAGTTCTGATTAACTCCAGTTCCTCCAGGAATGCCTCTAAGGTTTTTATTTTCTCTGTGATTCCTTATGTAAAGGCATGTACTTAACCATAAATCCCACCCTTAGGTCAAAACAACTCTGATGTTATCATACTTACTGTAAACCCTACCCTTAAGCAATTGTCTTACACATCCCTTCTTAAGTCTGTAGACCCTTTCCCTATGGTGGATAAGCCCTGGGTCCAGGGTGTGGGGGGCATGGGGGGGTAACAGTGCAGGCATTCATCATCTGTCTAGTGGCTGCCTGAGACATGGCCTCTGTTTGTAATTCCCTATGAAATGTTTCTTTCTGAGAAATTGGAATTCTCAGCCTCTTTCTTTGGCCTCTCAGCTTCCTTGGTTTGCAGGGGTGGTTTGCATAGAGCTGCTCGCTGCAGAACAACTAGCAAGTGAGAGTAATAACTTAGCTCTAAAAGCACACGGAGTGCATTTAGGAAGCTTCGCACCTCCGATGCATGCCGAGTCCTTGCTGTCTAGTTCCCTGGCTTGGATCCATGTGCCCACTATCCAGTGTTACTCCCTCATTCCAAATAAGGATCAGAATATATTCTGGAGATAACTGAACTCGAACCACATTTTATCAAGATGGGTGTAAACTAACCAAAGTCAATGTCTACTAAGCCACTTTAAGAAAAACTCCTCTTTTAACGGGGAGCTATTTGTGGTAGGAGGTTAACCATGGACGTACCCAAATCAGACCTTTTAGGAGTGACTATATCTCCACAACTTGTGGAAAGACGATATTCTCAGTAGGCTTATATTTCAGTGCTTGGAACTTAACTTTTGCTGAAGGTTGAAAATTGCTCTTAAGAGAGACAAGTGGTACAAAACACGAAGAATCGCTTTTAGGATAATTAAAACTACTTTGAATTTTTTATTTATCAATCTGGTTTCTAATATAATTTTAGTTAAATGAAAGACATTCACAAAGAATATTAGGCATACGTACATAATTTCCTTCTTTCATTCTAGTTTACATGCTGTTGCTTTTAGAGAGTGAAATTTTGTGTTATTTCACAGGGGATGGAATCCTGTTTGACTTTACAGAAAGAATATTTAGCCCAGCTTTTCACAGCACTAACCTCTGCAGTCACCACGCTCACTGAAAAAATTTAAAAAACCTGACAAAATAAAACTTAGTAAAATCTAGAACTGTTTCTTGGCCTACTTGAGAGGAACTTCCATATTTTCACAGCCATCTCCGAAAGCAGCAGTTGCTGTAAATTAACTGAGACTTGGAAATGGTGCAGACTGTCTTGGTAGAGCTGTTCTTATAGCACAATTTTATCTGGAAAATAAACTTGTAAATGCGTGCTGTATATTAATACATGTGTGCCCATATTTATTTTTATTATCTCCTGCCAGTCTTTGCTCAATGGGAGATGACAGACCAACTTCTCAACGTGATTTCCCCATTTCATTGAATGACATTTATATGCCACTTATGAAAAAAAATACTGCTGTGAAAGAAATGTACTTTAAAGTTTGCAGCACTACCATGCAGGGTACATGGAGAATAGGCATATAGCCACTAGGCTACATGAACACGTCACGTTTGTATTTTGTGTTGGCCTATGTATAAGCCAATCTAGCATGTTTGAGGGCATGTGTGAGAGTAGGTAAGGGAGCTGTAAGTTACATTCAGGTGGGAATTTAGGGCTTTCTGCACAAAAAATTCTAATTTCTCTGTCCTTTTGCTATGTTGCATCTCCCAGTGTTGACAGGTTAGTCTGCATGATTAATAACTGAGCAGCTGTAGAGCCATGCCAGTAAGTCTCCAATTCCTGAACGTGGCCACATTTGTCTTTTGATGTGACTTTCAACCACAAGCCACAAAGTAAGTCTTTCACTAGGCTCCGTTGACTTCAGTCTTTATATAAGGGTTTCAAGGTATTTTGCAGTCAAGAATCAATGGCACCTCGCAACTGTCTTATGAAGTAGGTAAAACAGCTCCATCTTAAATACGGGACAAAAGTTCGAGGACTTGACCAAGGTCACACAGGGAGGGTCCCACCAAGGCAGGGAGAGAGAAAGGGGATGCTGTCAGCTAATTCTCATGGTCCACTCTTAACCAAAACATCATTTAAAAAATGGGGCTGGCTCGGCACGGTGGCTCACACCTGTAATCCCAGCAATTTGCAAGGCCGAGGTGGACGGATCACTTGAGGTCAGGAGTTCGAGACCACCCTGGCCAACATGGTGAAACCTGGCTTCTACTAATAATACAAAAAAAAAAAAAAATTAGCTGGGTGTGATGGCGGGTGCCTGTAATCCCAGCTACTTGGGAGGCTGAGGCAGGAGAATCGCCTCAATGTGGGAGGAGGAGGAGGTTGCAGTGAGCCCGAGATTGCGCCAGTGCACTCCAGCCTGGGGGACAGAGCAAGACTCCGTCTCAAAACAAAACAAAAAACAACAAAAAAAAGCGGGGCGGGGGTAGGAGCCATTGGTTCTTAGCTGAAGTCAGCTGGGGACATTGTTACTGTTTGTTTCGCACTGGTTTAGGATCAGGTGGTTCTACTGGGACTAGCAATTTAGGACCTATCTTTGGCTGGCTTACTTGAATTCAATTTAATAATTGCTGCCCTTTTTTTGGGAAAATTGCTCAACAGGGTGGTGAAAAGAAAAAATGGGGGGTTTCAAATTCAGTGTTGTTTGGAGGCATGAGACATAAACGGGCCATTAAAACGTTTACTGCGTAAGAGCAGGGTATAATGTGGTGAGGAGAGGAAGAGAGAAAAAAGTAGGATAGAAAAGAACAGATTCCATCATAGAAGGAAAGAAAAGCTTCTTGACACAACCTGAACACTTGCATGTTCAAGTCCCACAGCTGTGTGCTTGTTCCTGAAGTGCTTCCAATGGCTTCGCCTGTGCCCAGCTCTCAGCCTGCATATGGTGGCCGCTCAGCAGATTTTCAAAAGTAACATTAAGACAGACTCTTTGGCTCATGCCAATGCTTTTTCTTGTGCCTCTGAATTCCTGCTCTTGTTAGTAAAGGATGCTTGTTTGTCAAATGCAGGGCAGTAGGACATTTTCTAGGAATGGCTCTCTAAATTCTTGTTTTCAGCTCTTTAATGAAAACTTTCATGTAACAAGTCTCTTTTTTTGAGCAGGTGGTTGAAAGCCACAAGGGGAAATACATTTTTAAATATTAAGAAGGGCCAGAAAATAATTTAACAACAAAATAGCTTTTTCAACCTCCTGGACCAGCTTTCTTGAGCTCTAGGGAATATGCTATTTTGAGAGCTTAGGATCTCACTAACCTTGCATTCATTCAAAGTCATCTCCTAGCTTTTTTCAAAACATCGACATTTGCTTCATACACAGAAGATGTTTCCTGCACAACTTTAAATCAGCCACCAACTTTCCCTGAAACTTTAAAACAGTCTATTTTTTGTCGTTGTTGTTGTCTATACATATTATTTAAAGAGGCTACTACCAGCATACTTGTGCTTGCTTGATAATGTATTGGAATGTAAGATGTCAAGATTTTGTGAGATGTGAATGACAAAGCAGGATTAGGCACTGAGAGCTTGGGCGGGAATGTCATGGTTATGGAGGCTGCACTGTGCTAGGCTATCCAAGGAGAGAGTTGGAAGAAAGACTTAATTCTTTTTCTTCACATAAACAGATTATTTACCATTTAAAATGTACTGAATATGGCCTTCATAAACAGATGTAGGGATTTTTGTTACACCCATAATCCCAAGGAGAGGTCAAGATTTCCAGCATTTATTTGGCACTTAGTTACTTAATACTTTATCCACCGTTTGGTTTCCTGTCTGATGGCCACATTGTAACCCTCTTGAAGGAAGACAGTGTCCTATATGTCTTAATTGATGGTGATATGGGAGAACCACTGATCCCTGCAGTCATTCCAGTGTCCTAGGTTTGAAATTTTGGTGAGAGGATTGGATCTCATTTTTCACCTTTTGTGGCAGGAAAAGGAGAGGGAGGAGAAAGGATGAGAACATTTTAGTAGCAGAAGCTGTTTTGGGTGGCTTTAATTCTCTACTCATTTTGGGAAAAAAGGGAAAGTGTTGAGACAATGCATAAAGAACAGAGCTATCATGGGAATTGCAAGAAATAATAAATTTCCATCTGGCATTATTTGGTAAGTGCAGAAGTAATACCTGTAAACCAGGTTTAAAAATCAGAAACACTTCTAAAACATCATGTTTAAAATTTGCTTTCAACAATACATAAAGTAACTCCTAATGGTAATCATCTTGGCTAAATAAAACAGCCTTTGCTTTCAATATGTCATTTGTAAATGTTACATTGTTCTGATATTTAGTGATATTAAGTATTTTTCCATTTTAAATGTATTTTATAGAAGAATGATTAAAACCTTTTAAAATTAAGGGTGTCCATGACAGTGCCTGAGCTCAACCAGCAATGGTAAAAGGGCATCAGGATTCCCTTTTGTTCTGTTACCTTGACTTGTATGGGAATTAACTGGTCCAATGTCTCCTTTGGAATGTGCTCTGTACTGGTGTAATGTGCCACTGGCAACTCTAGGTAATGTTTTCCATTACCCAAGAAACTGATGTGCTCCAATAAGTTAGGCACACTGAGAATCTTGAAAAAGAATGCATAATTCTAACAAACTAGAATTTCCATTTTATTCAGCCGGGCCATCAGAACAATAGCATCTATACCTTCGAAACCTCCTCTTAACCTCTCCCAGGCAAAGAAGGAAAAAGTGATCATATTGAATTCCTCAGAATGGTGGGATCTCAAGACTTTTTAGAAAGTGCTTATTAAGTATAAGAGGCTTGAAATATAATGATGATAAATGGTAGCCTTTCTGGAAATAATTTTTGTGTAATCTGTTTAAAAAGATTTTTTGGATGCATTGTCCCCATTTGTTTACAGGAAGTGTATTACTTTTAAATATAATCAATGAGGTATTTATTTGTTAAATAACTGGGTCAAGATTTCAGATTAAACTAAGAGGTGTGATTAACTACACTTCTCCATCCTCTGGGAAGCAACAGGTACCAGGTTTGTGATGAACCTGAGGTTCAAATGTGTCCGTCTTAGAAGAAAGATCCCTGAATCACAGCAGTGTGATTGGATGGAAAAACACGTGGAGTAGTTGATTTAAAATATGGCAGTGTTTTCCATATCATCCAGAGTAACAGCAATAATAACTTGACTTTATTGTGTTGTGTCCATTTACAGGACACTGTCTATTAGGATTGTGTCACAGGGGTGGAAAAACTACCAGAGATTTAAAGCAAAATAAGAAACGCAACCTAATTTATGCATTCACTAGAAATTATCCATATTTTTGCTATAACTAAACTATAAAAGAAAAAGAGCAAACAAATCATAACATCTGGCTCTAATTCCCCATTGAGGCGCTTATACATATATAAATCCAGTATGTTTCAGATAAAACAGGAAAAAATCTTTTGTAACAGCTGGTCACCATGGTATTGCAGCTGATAGTTACAGCTATTGGTCTAAGACTACATACGTGGAACAATATTAGCTTGTAGAATTCAATGAAAAATCAAACTACCTTCCCTGGTTCTTTAATGCCTCTCTCCAGTTGTGCTGATTGTGTCGTTACACACCAGGTGCCATGCACTCTCTTCCTTCAACTGCTGGTATCAGTCAGGAACCCCAGATGCCAGAGAGCTGGCATAGATTGAGCTCTGCTTAAAAACTGGCAAATAATAGGTTCTCTTTGCCCCTTTCTTTTCCGACTTATAGGACATCAAAGGAAATAGTATATAAACACGAACTAGTTTCTGTAACAGCCCATTAAGGTTGACTAGAAGCAAAAGGAAGAGAATGTTGGGGGCCATCTGTAGGTGCATTAGCTTTTCTCAAGAAAAAAAATACCCACGTTCTAAGGGCTCTTAAAAACGTAGAAAACTTGCCCTGTTACCACGGGTCTTTAGAACACCTCTAAACACACACAAAATAAGACAGATAGTACCTACAAATTTCAACCATTGCTTAAACTCTAAAAGCATTTTTTGTATTATTTTGTTTTGATACAGAAGGGAAAACTCAGCTATAAAGAAATATTAAAAAGGTTTTTTTTTTTGTGATCAGTCTCAAGAATATTCCATTATATTCCATTGCCTGCCTCCCCCAACTTGTGCTGATATTTTAAGGATGTGCTCAAGAGTATGAAGCAGGGTGCTTTTGTCCCTTTCTCTCCTCCCTAGTAATTCCCTCCTCCCTATCCCATAGCCAAGTAGCCACCCCTCAAATGAGCCATTCCTTTTTGCTTTCATCAATGGTCTCTGTGAAGTTGGGGTCGTTGTTCATGATGGCGGCGTCCGCGCTCTCTGCCGACTCCGCCCCCTTTGCTTCGTTGGTATGGTAGGTGCCCTTGTGGCGGAACATGTACCGGATCAGGAAGACCAGGGTGCACAGGATGGTGAAAATCACCACAGCAATGACGCCTGACGGAGAAAGGAGAAGCACGAGAGGTTAGACAGGGCTTGGGAGTCCCTCCAACACTGTCCCCACTTCACTACAGCTCCGTCAGACACAGCCCTCTCCCATATAAAACACAACCTCCAAAACAACAAAGATAACAAAAATGAAGTAAGATGTCTGTTTTTGTCCATGAAGGAGTAACAGGAAAAACAGGAGTAACTTGTCTTCCAGCCAAAAGTAACTAAAATACTGGACACAGTCTATGAAATGACAGTCTACAGACATTAGAAAACAGGCAGAAAGGAACCATGATGTCTGAGAACAGAGAAACAAAAAGGAGGAATCCTACATTTTTCCTAGTTTTCTGGCTGGCAGCGATTTTTGGACAGCAGTGTAGGGAGGGGCAGCACAAGAAAGCACAGTGGTTTCCCTGAATGGAGAGGGGAGATAGAGTGGGCGCGCGAGAGAGCTATGTATAGAAAGAACCCTAATAATCTGCACATAAGTCTCTCTGAATTTGTGGCCGAATAATACTAACATGTGCATGTACAGAATAAAAGTCCACAGGCCAGGCAAAAAACCAGAGCTCACGGAGGGCTGGGAGATGTTTATAGTCCAACAACCACACTGAAGAGACCTCATTGAACAATCAGAGCATTTAATACAGTTGATAGAATGGTCATGCTGAAGGTGTTTGCTAAAATAGGCCTAGAATAAAGACTACTCTAGCTCTGTCCTGAAAAAGCTTTAAAACACATCTAAATAACGTCAAGCTGCAGAGAAAAATAATTCAGAGAAAAAAAATGTAGCAAAATGTCACTTGACCAGAAGAAACATCAGTCAATTAGAAGGAGAGCCAGAAAGGACAGAGCATGGAATGAGCAGATGAGGACAGTACAATAGCTATTAGAAACAGAAAGGACAGAGCATGGAATGAGCAGATGAGGACAGTACAATAGCTATTAGAAACCTGCACAGGGGTTTAAAGGAAAACATGATCAAAATGAGGGGAAAAAAAATGAGACAACGTGGAACTTGTAGAGGTGAAACACACAATGTCTGAAATGAGCAGTGGCTCGCGCCTGTAATCCCAGCACTTTGGGAGGCTGAGGCGGGCGGATTACTTGAGGTCAGGAGTTTAAGACCAGCCTGGGCAACATGGTGAAACCCGGTCTTTTATACTAAAAGTACAAAAATCAGCCAGGCATGGTGGCACGCTCCTGTGATCCCAGCTAGCCAAGATGCTGAGGCGTGAGAATCGCTTGAACCTGGGAGGCGGAGGCTGCAGTGAGCCAAGATCGTGCCACTGCACTCCAGCTTGTGTGAGGGGGGGGGGGGGGACTCTGTCTAAAAAAAAAAAATGGAAAAAGAAAAAAATACTGGATGAAATAATACAGATTAGATAAAACAGAAGTAAATATAACTGATCTAAACACTCCAATTAAAAAGTAGAGACAGTGGATAAAAAAGATGCCTACTATATGATATCTACAAGACATGAACTTTAAATACAGGTCAACAGTAAAAGGGTGGGAAAAGATATGCAAACAATAATCATAAGCTGGAATAGCTACGTTAATATGAGACAAAGGACAAGGTTGTTAGTAGAAATGAAGAACATTTCATAATGACAAAAGGGTGAATTCATCAGGAAGACATAATGTTCCTAATGTGTATAAATCTAACCTAAGTACAAAATAAATGAAGCAAAAACGGGCAGAACTGGTAGGACAATTAGACCAATTTGCAATTATAGTTGGAGATTTTTTAACACTGTTCTGTCAGTAACTGATAGAACAATTGAACAGAAAATCAGCAAAAATTTAAAAGACTCGAACAATACTACTAACAAGCATTACCTAATGATATTAGACCAATCCTACACATCTTTCTTAAAATATAGGAGGAGAAAACACTACTCAATTCATTTTATGAGACCAGCATTATCCTGACACTAAAACCAGAAAAATGTTACAAGAAAACTATGGAGCAATATATATATATATATATATATATATATATATATATATATATATATTTTTTTTTTGAGACGGAGTTTCACTCTTGTTGCCCAGGCTGGAGTGCAATGGCACGATCTGGGCTTACTGTAACCTCAGCCTCCCAGGTTCAAGCAATTCTCCTGTCTCAGCCTCCCGAGTAGCTGGGCTTACAGGCGCCCACCAGTACGCCCAGCTGATTTTTATATTTTTAGTAGAGACGGGGTTTCACTGTGTTGGCTAGGCTGGTCCTGAACTCCTGACCTCAGGTAATCCACCTGCCTCGGCCTCCCAAAGTGCTGGGATTATAGGCGTGAGCTGCTACGCCTGGCCACAATATTCTTTTAAATAGAATTTTAGCAAATCAAACCCAGCAATATGTAAAAAAGATCATGTATTATGATAATGTTAATCCTAGGAATGCAAGTTTGGTTTAACATTAAAAAATAAAGCAATGTGATTTACCACATTAAGCAAATAAGGAGTAAAACAATATGATCATCTAAATAGATGTGGAAAAAGCATTTGGAAAACTTCCAATACCCATTCATCAAACAGCTTTCAGTAAACTATGAGTAGAAGAAACTTTCTCAATCTGATAAAGGACATCTGTTGGAAACCTACGGCCAATATCCTATTTCATAGTGAAAGATCAAACACATTCCCCTAACATAGGGAACAATGCAAAATTGTCAAATCTCAATATTTATTCACTTTTGTACTGAAAATCCTACCCGGTGCAATGAAACAACAAAAGGATATAGACTGGAAAGAAACAAGTAAAAAAATCTCATTATTCTCAGATAAAATGCTTGTCTAGGTAGACAATTCTGAGGAATATACAAAAAAAGTTATTAGAACTAACAGCAAATTTAGCAAGGTCACAGAAGGCAAGGCTGATATAAAAGATCAATTATACTTTTATATGCCAGAGAGAGACACTTAGAAAATGAAATTAATGAAATAGTAAGCTGTTCAAGACTTCGCATTGAAAACCACAATACGTTGCTGAGAGAAACTGATGAGACAAATAAACGTATAGATACACCATGTAAAGATAGAAATACTAAATATCGTTAAGATGTTCTAATGAACCTGTCTTGGCCTCTCAAAGTGCTGGGATTACAGGCGTGCGCCACCGCGCCTGGCCAGGATTAGAGAACTTACATTGTTTATTTCAAGACTTAGTATAAAGATACAACAGGCCGGGAGCGATGGCTCACACCTGTAATCCTACCAGTTTTGCAGGCCGAGGTGGGTGGATCACAAGGTCAGGAGATTGAGACCATCCTGGCCAACATGGTGAAACCCTGTCTCTACTAAAATACAAAAATTAGCTGGACATGGTGGTGCGTGCCTGTAATCCCAGCTACTCGGGAGGTTGAGGCAGGAGAATCGCTTGAGCCAGGGAGTCGGAGGTTGCATGAGCCGAGATCGCGCCACTGTACTCCAGCCTGGCAACAAAGCAAGACTCCCATCTCAACAAAAAAAGATACAACAATAAAGCAAGCATGATATTGGCTAAGGAAAGATATATATAGACCAACAAAACAAAAAGCCCAGAAAATAGACACACACACACACACACACATATGTCAGTTGCTTTAACAAAAGTGCCAAGAAAATTCAATTGAGGAAAAGTATAGTTTTTTTTTTTTCAACAAATGGTCTTGGAATGACTAGATATTCATTTGGAAAATACTGACGTTGACTCTTCTCTCACACCATTTATAAACATTAACTCGAAGTGATTAAAGACCTGATGGCAAATGATAAAGTGATACAACTTCTAGAAGAAAGCTGAAAATCTTCAAAACCTTTGGGTAGGCAGACTTTTTAGATAGGACAAACCAACCACAAACTATAAAAAAGATTGGGGCCGGGCACGGTGGCTCACACCTATAATCCCAGCACTTTGGGAGGCTGAGGCGAGTGGATCACTTGAGGTCAGGAGTTGGAGACCAGCCTGGCCAACATGGTACAATCCTGTCTCTACTAAAAATACAAAAATTAGCCAGGCATGGTGATGCGTGCCTGTAGTTCCAGCTACTCAGGAGGCTGAAGCAGGAGAATCGCTTGAACCCGGGAGGCAGAGATTGCAGTGAACTGAGATCACGCCACTGCACTCCAGCCTGGGCAACAGAAAGTGAGACTCTGTCTCAAAAAATAATAATAAATAAAAGTTACGGACTTGTTACACTTATAGATGCGTATTATACTTCAATTAAGTTCATTTAAAAAAGCAAAAGACAGTGAGGATTGGGATCTTAATGGTAACAGGGATGTCAATATCGATCTACGCATGAGGCTCAGTGGCTATCCGAGGAGAGTCAAATTATTATGTAGCTGTCCATGGTGAGAAGAAAACACTGGAATATTTTAGATGCTACAGCTTGTTAAATCTTCTGATACATTTTTAGTTTTTATTATTTTCATTGTGCAAATTTACGGGGTACATGAGAAAATTTGTTACACGTATATAAGGAATAGTGGTCAAGTCATAGTATTTAGGGGTTCATCAACCAAGTACAGTACATTTTTGTTAGATATAGTCATCCTACCCTGCTAGCAAACCCGGAACTTGTTCCTTTTATCTTTCTTACTGTATGTTTGCACCCTGTAACCCACTTCTCTTCATTCTCCTTCCTCCTCCTGCTCAACTTTCCCAATCTCTGTTACGTGTTTTTCTTTCTACCTCCATGTGTGTAAATCTTTTAGCTCCTGTGTATCAGTGAGAATATGCAATATTTGTCTTTTTGTGCCTAGCTTATTTCACTTAAAATAATGACCTCCAGTGATTTTCTGATAATTTTTATTATGATAACTGAAATCAGACTGGCATTTCCCTTTTCGTATTTTTTTTTTTTTTTTTTTTTTGAGAAAGGTCTCAATCTGTCACCTAGACTGGAGTACAGTGGTGTGATCTCAGCTCACTGCAACCTCTACCTCCCAGGCTCAAGCAATTCTCTTGTCTCAGGCTCCCGAGTAGCTGGGATTACAGGAATGCGCCACCACGCCTGGCTAACTTTTGTATTTTTAGAGATGGGGTTTCACCATGTTGGCCAGGCTGGTCTTGAACTCCTGACCTCAAATGATCCACCTGCCTCGGCCTCCCGAAGTGCTGGGATTACAGGCGTAAGTCACTGCACCCAGCATTCCTTTTCATTTTTTTATAGTACGCTATCCTGGACCATTTTGGATGCGAAAGGATAAGACTGAAAAATATCCGAGGGGGATAAAGAAATGTCCTGGCTATGGTCACTACTACCTACTTAATTATTCTGAGTCTGTCCAGCTTTCCACTGCTATTTGTTTTTTACAAGCCAGCATTAAAAAGTAGCCAGGTTACATTTACTATATTCTTTCTTTCTTTCTTTTTTTTTTTTTTTTTTGAGACGGAGTCCCGCTCTTTAGCCCAGGCCGGATTGCAGTGGCACAATCTTGGCTCACTGCAAGCTCCGCCTCCCAGGTTCACGCCATTCTCCTGCCTCAGCCTCCTGAGTAGCTGGGACTACAGGCGCCCGCCACTGCGCCCGGCTAATTTTTTGTATTTTTAGTAGAGACGGGGTTTCACCGTGTTAGCCAAGATGGTCTCGATCTCCTGACCTTGTGATCCGCCCGCCTCGGCCTCCCAAAGTGCTGGGATTACAGGCGTGAGCCACCGCGCCCAGCTAATTTTTGTATTTTTAGTAGATATGGGGTTTTGCCATGTTGGCTAGGCTGGTCTCGAATTCCTGACCTCAGGTGATCTGCCCACCTCGGCCTCCCAAAGTGCTAGGATAACAGAGGTGAGCCACTGTGCCCGGCTATATTTACTATATTTCTTCACATCATATGTCATAATCTTTAAACAGCAAAATGAATAATGTAAAAACCTAGAAAACTTTTTTTCCTAGACTACTATGTTATTGACAACTATTACTTTCCATAGTTGAGTAGCCCCATATAAGCCTCCTCTAGACATCACCTACCTCCAATGATAGCCGAGTTTCTGTTGACTCCATTTCTTATAGCTTGGCCTTGTCCTGGATTATATGGAAAATCCGCACTGGCTGTAGAGAAAGAAAGAGTCAAGTGTCAGAGTCAAGTATACTATTGATCCCAAATAATTTGATACCTATTTCTTCATGCAACTCTTCAACACTTCCTGTTTTCCCAAATGAAATCTCCATTTCAGATGGACCCGTCTTGCCATTGTCTCCCACAAGAATCACAACAGCCTCCATCCCTGTTCCTGCTGTTTCTCTTTGCACAAGGCCTAGGTAAACACGACTTCCCACTTGGAGCAATATTAGAGAATCCTAGAGCTACCTGAGCTGGCCTGCTCTAGTTCCACAGACAGACGAGTTTATGCATTTGAATATGTTTCTTACATTTGGTTGAAATCTGCTTCCCATCCACTTTTAACCCCATGCACAACTGGTGGCATTCAATGTATTTGTAGATGAGCTTTTTACAGCTACAGTATTAAAAAGTTTAAAAAGGAATCATTCCTTTAAACTTGTATTTTTCATGGCTGTAATAAGACACTGGCACACTTTAGGAATTTGTAAGGGGGTAATAATTCAAAACAGTTAAGAATATTAACTGCCTAGTGAATTTTCTATTTCTTTCCCTATTATAAACGTAAGAATCAGTTGTGTTAAATTTAGGTATTTCTCTAAGATAAAACAAATTTTAAGCCCGGTAAAGGCAAATAGATCCCGAAGTCCATCTGCAAGTCGGCAGACTATCTTCTGTCATCCATAGGACCTAATCCAACTTCAGAAACAATTCACATTTGTTGGTCTTCTGTTGGAGAAGTTAAGGTAAATCTTCCAACAGAAGCAGGTCACCTTAGTCTAAAGCAAGCTCTGGCTACTGGATGGCACCAGTTAAATGTAAAAAGAATTTAGAAGTACTTATTTGGTACAATGAAATGTGTACACACCAGGCAAACAGGTTTATGTTATGATTCAGGGAGAACATTGCTACATACTCCGTTTTCTAACACTAATTTATTCCTGGGCTATGGACTTCCAAGATTATCCGGGATAATGATGAAAAGCAGGTAGAGCCCTTTTTCCTCCTCTTCTCTTGGAAATATGGCAACCAAAAAGGGAGATTCCAGATTCTTTCAACACATGTGATTTAATCCTTTCTCTTTTAGACTTGATATTCTTTTTTTGTGTGTGTGTGGGGCGGGGGCAGTGTGGGGAAAGGGTCTCACTCTGTTGTCCAGGCTGGAGTGAGTGCAGTGGTGTGATCTTGGCTTGCTGCAACTGCTGCCTTGCAGGCTCAGGTGTTTCTCCTGCCTCAGCCTCCCAAGTAGCTGGGATTACAGGCACCTGCCACCATGCCTGGCTAATTTTTGTATTTTTAGTAGAGACAGGGTTTCACCATGTTAGCCAGCCTGGTCTCAAACTCCTGATCTCAAGTTATCCACTCACCCTGGCCTCCCAAAATGCTGCAATTACAGGCATGAGCCACTGCACCTGGCCAGACTTGATATTCTTGTTTAGGACCAGGAAAATTATACTTTTTAGATAGATACGTATATATATTCCAAATTATCTCAACTATCAGTTGACTGAGTAAAAGCACAGACACTAAGCAAGCTACAAATGAAAGTGAACTTAACTCTTGGGTATTCAAGGATTTCATATTCCCCAAGTCTTTAACTGGGGGATGCAAAAGAGACCACTGATGGTTTTTGCTTGTTTTAACTGGCTCAATCCTTTTTTTTTTTTTTTTTTTTTTAAGATTTGGTCTTGCTGTGTTGACCAGGCTGGAGTGCAGTGGCACAATCATGGCTCACTGCAGCCTGGACCTCCCAGGCTCAAGTGTTCCTCCTGCCTCAGACTCCTGAGTAGCTGGGACCACAGCCATGCACTATCACACCTGGCAAATTTTTTTATTTTTTGTAGAGATGGGGTTTCCCTATGTTGCCCAAGCTGGTCTTGAATTCCTGGGCTCAAACGATCCTCCCACCTTGGCCTTTCAAAGTGCTGGGATTACAGGTGTGAGCCACCATGCCCGGCCAATTGGTCCAATCCTAAATCCAGTTAGCTAGGCAGGGAAATGGGGAGAGCCAACATGTAGTACAGTGTAGTCAGCTACTTTCTCATCAGCTCACTTTCCCATTTCCCTTCAGGATTTTCTGGGGTAGGTAGTGTGGATTAATATTCCCAATCCCAAATGTCAGCCCAAGAATGCAAAGATCTTTCATTTATTAGGCTTATCATCAGATATAAGATTAGTCCTAAAATTATCCCGTGGGAATAAAACTGGTTTATATAAAAACATATAATAAAAACCTTGAATAAAAACCTTGGCTTTCTTTTTTAAACCTGAATCTTCTCTTCAAATTTATTCATTTACTTATTCACTAAATCTTTATAGAATGCCTACTATATGTCAGACTTCTTTCCAAGTGCTGAGGATATACAGTGAACAATAAAATAGACAAAGAATAAAGTTCTTTAGCTAATGAGAACTTCTTGGTCCGACATGGTCTGTTTATTCTACGCATCCTTGAAGAGTTTGGTTTATATAGTCTTTAGATTATATACTGAAGCATGGATGTGGTTTCAGTTATGAACTTGTCCATTTACAGTAAATTGCCTGATAAGTCATGCTACCCATAAACCATAAGCACAGGAAGATTTGGTTATGAATGTATACAATTCCCTGGCATAAGCCACCCTTCAAAGACCAAAAGCTATTTTTCAGGAATGAAAACTTGCACCGTTACTGCCCATCTTTTCCAGACCTTTTGACATTATAATTACTCTTCTCTGGACACTATTTAGTCCATATCCTTCTAGAAAGTCACCAAGCTTGTGAATAGTCTAGTTAAAATTAGAACCCAGGTGTAGGGTTCGTTCCAAAGTCAACAATCTTCTCTACCCTGCCTTTTGAAGGCTAGAAAGGGACAAGGAGTTGAAGGGTTGAGGAAGTCCCAGCTTGCAGACAGTTTGGCTTGGGTTGGGACTATGGGAGGAGGAGCCCTTTTAGGTGATGAGGAATTAATTAGTTTTGTATTGGACATATTGAGTTGGAGGTGCTAATGGGGCACCCAGGTGGAGATATTTACTAGATATTTGGATACTTTGTGAGTGAGTGATATTTCCTGTCTCCTTTTGATAAACGCAGAAATTTCCTGACCTCCTTTTTCTTTGTCTTCCCTTATCCCCTGCCCCGTCATGACCTTCTTTCTTTCTTTATTTTTTGAGATGGAGTCTCGCTGTGTCCCCCAGGTTGGAGTGCAGTGGCGCGATCTCAGCTCACTGCAAGCTCTGCCTCCTGGGTTCACGCCATTCTCCTGCCTCAGCCTCCCGAGTAGCTGGGACTACAGGCGCCCGCCAACATGCCCGGCTAATTTTTTGTATTTTTAGTAGAAACGGGGTTTCACCGTGTTATCCAAGATGGTCTCGATCTCCTGACCTCGTGATCTGCCGGTCTTGGCCTCTTAAAGTGCTGGGATTACAGGCGTGAGCCACCGCGCCCGGCCGACCTTCTTTAAATAATATGTACCTTCGAAATATATTAAATATAGTGATAAAAAATTACAATGGTAGGCCAGGCACGGTGAGTCCAAGGCAAGTGGATCATGAGGTCAAGAGATCGAGACCATCCTGGCCAACATGGTGAAACCCCGTCTCTACTAAAAATACAAAAATTAGCTGGGCATGATGGCGTGCGCCTGTAGTCCCAGCTACTCGGGAGGCTGAGGCAGGAGAATCACTTGAACCTGGGAGGCAGAGGTTGCAGTGAGCTGAGATCGTGCCACTGCACTCCAGCCTGGTGACAGAGCGAGACTGTCTCAAAAAAAAAAAAAAAAAAAAAAAAAAAAAAAAATTAGCTGTGCATGGTGGCACGTGCCTGTAGTCCCAGCTACTCAGGAGGCTGAAGCAGGAGAATTGCTTGAACCGCTTGAACCTGGGAGGCGGAGGTTGTAGCGAGCCGAGATTGCACCACTGCACTCCACCCTGGCGACAGAGCGAGACTCCGTCTCAAAAAAAAAAAAAAAAAAAAAAAAAATTACAATGGTAATCTGGTTCCCTTGAGGTTACGGATAAAAACAGTAGCAGAACATACGGAGATAGTGGAAGGAGTTACCTGAGATGACGCAAGGAGAATGACAAGAGCTAGGGAGGAACATTTAAAAATATTCCACGATTGTTTTGGGTGTAAATCTGAACTCCTTGGCATAGGGAAGAAAGACTCCCTTGAGCTGGATTTCTCTCCTGCCCCTTCCTTCCTGGGGTCACTTTTCCAACTCAACATTCTAGGTATAGGTGATATGGACAGGAGGCAGGGAAATACTGGGTAGAAGAGGGTGGAGTCCCTGGCAAGGGTTCCACACACAAACCTGAGCCCACAGCCCTAAATGAGAAATTCACAGCCCTGTTTTCCCACCCAAATGCTGCTTTTTCCAAAACCAGCCTGGCCTGCCATGCCCCCCAGTCCTGTAACCATAAAAACCCCAAGCTCCACTGGCAGAGGAGCAGAGCAGTGTGGCAGAGGAGAGAAGAGAACAAGCGGCTGAACATCAAGAGGAGAAGCAGCATCTGAATGTTGAAGAGGTAACTGGACAGTTGGAAAGCAGTTTCGCTGAGGATGACTGAAGAGAATTATCTTCCCATTTCATCCCTTTCCAGCTCCCCATCCCACTGAGAGCCACCTCCATCACTCAATAAAACTGTGTGACCTGATTCTTCCTGGATGCCAGACAAGGACCTGGGTACCAAGAGGGCAGGGGGTAAAAGTCTGTCACCCTGTCTCCAATGAGCTGGTTAACACTTAGCCATCCCCAGACAGTAACTGTTAAAACAGCATTAATTGTAACATACCCCTAGATGCTGCTGTGGGGCTGGAGACCAAAAGCGTTCACCCCAGCGGTGGCACCCACTTGCCTGTGTGCTCGCCGTCCCGCAAAAGGTTTGAGTGAGCTGTACCCTGTTGCAAGTCCAGTGAAGGGGTCTAGGGAACTCTCCCGTCTCATAGGAGTTCCTGATGCCTCCAGTTGACACACCTTTTCTCTGCCATATGGCACTCTGTCTGGACATCTGGTTTACTATCCTTTTCTTTGTCCATCAGATCTTACCACTTTCCTGAAAGTATCCTCAGCGACCTCAGACTGTGTGTCCCTTTTCTCAATGGGAATAATCTTAATTCTTGTGACTTCTTACATGACAGTCATCCTCTTCAAGTCAGAGACCAATCTTAATCATGTTTGCAGTTCCAGTGACTAACAATGCAGTAGCAAGGGCTAAATGGATGTTCATTGGCTGGCATAATTAAAATCAGTTGATTAAGAGGTATGTAAACATCGGTAGCTTCTTCTGATAACAAAACCTTCTATGCAGGTAGAATTTTGAAAGTCAGATGCCTAGTCTCAACTAAATCCTTACAGTGAGGCAGGTTTCTTATTCTTCCTAACAAAGGAGATGGACATATTGAATATAGAAAATATATTAGTGACTCCTAGTCCGCTGGACTTTGGTTATTGTTAGAAAATAACTTGTAGAAAATCCTCAGGTCAGGAATCCTTATACATTTCAAGGGCAAAATCTTTTGTTTGTTTAGTGTGAGCACTCCTATTTTCCTGGATTTATTTATGCTGTAAGCCTGGTTGTCCTAATGCATGTGAGTGCTTACCCCCTTGAGGCAAAGCCATTTTATTCTGGCGATCAACACAATTGCTATTTTGATAGATACATTTTATTGCCACTGACCTTTCCCCTGGGAACAAACATCCTCTTGGAAATGCGCACAGAGAAAAACGGAGACCAAGAAACATGACTGAGACATGGATAATAAAGCTCACCTATTCTACTGCTAACATCCACGTTCCCCTCACCCAGCTTGCTGGGAGAGCTGAACAATTTTAGTGGTGTTGGAGTATCAAGGAACCTATACTTTGGGAAACAGTGAGTAGGTCCAAATTTGGCGTGTTAATTTAAAACAGACTAGCTATAACATTCTCAAGACCAGTCTTTCATCAAATAAGCACAGACTCTATTCAACATACTTCTCTTGCGGATCCCCAAATGACACTCCATGTTAACC
This sequence comes from Homo sapiens, assembly GCF_000001405.40. Taxonomy (NCBI): domain Eukaryota; kingdom Metazoa; phylum Chordata; class Mammalia; order Primates; family Hominidae; genus Homo; species Homo sapiens. The sequence goes on along the minus strand of NC_000007.14, from coordinate 148,403,389 downwards.
ACCAAAGCATGGTGCCATTCCAGTCTGATTTAGAGTCTTATAAAAGCCCACATATTTCTGCATATTTCCCTTGCACGTGCCCTTGTGTGTAGTCATCCGTGTTCCTATATTTGTAGACCATGTTTCCATTGCACCACTCAGAGATTAGCTCTCCTCCCCTCCTCCACCAAGCACAGGCCAGGCAGGACATATTGCTGGAGGAATTGATGATGGGAGAGTCTTCTCCCAGGAACGTACTTAGTAAACATCCTGGCTAAGGCTTTAGCGCCCACACACATATGCACTACTATGCTCCTCACCCAAGGAGAAGTATGTTTGTCTGTCCTAGTGAATAAGGAGAGAGTAAAGTTTTTTTTTTTTTTTAACTACAGAAGATAAATTTGGTGGTTGTGGTTCTTATTTACTAAGTTTCAAAATATTTAGGCTCAGAAACCAATTGCAAACAAAACATATTGAAGTGCATATAAAAATAAATTGAAATATCTAACATAAAACCCCCCAAAATGAAAGGCTCTGGAAGCTTCAGGTTGTCATATATCAGAGACAAAAAAATTAGATCATATCTGACATCTCCTAGAGAAAATATCTCCATGGAAACCACTGGAGTTTCAGCATCTAAAGTAATAATTTGAGACACTTCAACAAAACTGCTGCTATTAATTATAATTTAATTTAAATTGCAACATTATTTTTACAGTGGGTCCGGGCGAGATGAGGTATCTCTGCCTTTGTTCTTAGCTTCTTTGTTTTATTACATTTTATTCTGTTTTCAAATCTGAGTTATATAGCAGAAAATGATTGTTTTTCTTAAATAATGTTTTTAGCCATTCACTATTGATATTTCTGAAACAGATATGAAAACAAATGGTTATCGACTAAGATGCTGAAGATATAAGGGACATTGTTTTATTTTAAGAGAGGATCCCTGCTAATCACATTTTTGGGAGGGAGCGATTTCTCTAAGTCAGCAGGTTTTTCCGTAGGCAGAGCATTATGTGGCATGTACTGACATGATCCTGAGTTTCACATTTCTCTCTCTACCCTTCACTTCCTAGTTTCTAAAAAAAAAGTAGCCAGCCAGCATTTCCAATTTCAAACAGGGGAAGGTGATTGTGACTTTTTGGCTCCTGACTTGAAAAGTTAAACAAGCTTTACATTTCCAGCTTCTTAAAGGAATGAGAAAGTGGCAGCTGCTTTCATGATTGTCCAAGATCCAGTGACCAAAAGAGGTCGAGTGAAGAGAAACAGAATAAACAAATTTGTCGTCATCGGCTATATGTTATGATTGTTTAAACCAACTTTTATATGAAAGGACTGAGTGGGCAATTGATTCCATTGTACTCCCTCTTTCCATCAGTTACTTAGTTAACTTCTGAATTGTCTCAATTGCCTTTCAGGAAAAAGATTTCTTAATGCTCTCAGAGTAGGCTGACATTGTACTCTTTTGTCTGATTAACGATAAAGAGGTATTTTAATTGAAAATAGCTCATTAGGCCGGGCACAGTGGCTCACGCCTGTAATCCTAGCACTTTGGGAGGCTGAGGCAGACAGATCATGAGGTCGGGAGATCGAGACCATCCTGGTTAACACGGTGAAACCCCGTCTCTACTAAAAATACAAAAAAGTAGCTGGGTGTGGTGGTGGGTGCCTGTAGTCCTAGCTACTCGGGAGGCTGAGGCAGGAGAATAGCATGAACCCGGGAAGCGGAGATTGCAGTGAGCCGAGATTGTGCCACTGCACTCCAGCCTGGGCAAAAGAGCAAGACTCCATCTCAAAAAAAAAAGAAAAAAGAAAAAAATAGCTCATTATTAATATATGCTCAGATTTTGTATTTCATAAAATAAACACGAAGGTAAGGTATTTGGTGTCCATTTTCATGTGAGATAAATGTCTTGTTATTTCTCAGGTGGGCAAATTGTTCCAGTCCTAATGTTTGGTTATAATTGTTTATAAATCAATGGTCAAAGTTATTGTAAAATATTGTGGGCACTTGTAAAGTATTGATTGTGACAGCTGGCCTTTATAGATTCTGTAGTTCCACAACCTCTCTACAGTTAAGGAGGCAAAAATGCAGAATGGATGATAATTAGGTGAAAGCCACATGGTTGGTGGGTGCCAGAGTCGCTGCTACGAGGACGAGGTCTTTCGACTCCTCATTCAGGACTCTCTCATGTATCTTACTGTAGTTCTCAGGGTGAACCTTGAAAGTCTGGATCAGAGAGCCTCACTGCCAGGAGCAGCTATCCAGCTGGCCCTCCACATCCACGGGTTCCCCAACTGTGGATTCAACCAAACTCAGATCAAAAATATTCGGGAAAAAAAGTTTCAGCTGTACTGAACACGTACAGATATTTTTTTCTTGTCATTGTTCCCTAAACAATCCAGCATAACAAATCTTTTTTTTTTTTTTGAGGCGGAGTCTCACTCTGTCGCCCAGGCTGGAGTGTAGTGGCACAATCTCAGCTCACTGCAACCTCTGCTTCCTGGGTTCAAGTGATTCTCCTGCCTCAGCCTCCTGAGTAGCTGAAATTACAGGCATGCGCCACCATGCCCGGCTAATTTTTGTATTTTTAGTAGAGATTGGGTTTCACCATGTTGGTTAGGCTGGTCTCGAACTCCTGACCTCGTGATCTGCTTGCCTCAGCCTCCCAAAGTGCTTGGATTACAGGCGTGAGCCACTGTGCCTGGCCAACAACTCTTTACATAGCATTTATGTTGTATTAGGTATTACAAGTAATCTACAAGAGACAATTTAAAGTATATGGGAGGGTGTGTGTAGGTTATATGTAGGTATTTACCACACTATTTGCTATCAGAAACTTGAGGATCTGTGGATTTGGGTGTCTTTGGGGGTCCTGGAACCAATTTCCTGTAAACACTGGGGCAGGACTGGAGCACTTGGTTAACAGTGCCGTACGGCTCTTCGTTGAGGTTTGTCGCGGCTTCTTTTCCTTTCCGCTGCAGGGAGTTTATGAATTCATGCTGATGTTAACAGGAGTGCAAGAAGGAAGAAGCCCCAAATCTAGGGGAATATAAATTCGGGAAGTGCCATTTAAACCCCGGTCTGAAGGAAAACGCTGTTTCTCCTGCTGCACAGTTTCCAGAATGCGCGTGGCGGCAGCAGGGTGCCCCGGAAGGGGCTGTCACTTCCTATGCATGCAGGGCTCTGAATGTCAGGGACAAAGGGCTCTGCACTTGTGTAACTGGTGGGTTCTTCGGCCTTGAAAAAGTTGCTGAACCTCCTTAGGCTTTTTCTTCAATTTCTATCTCAGTCTGAGATGCCTTTGGGGGAGAGCACTCTGATTCAGACCTTTCAAACATTAAGGGGCATACGGATGCCCTGAGCTTTGGTAAAAATGCTGCTTCTGCCTGAGTTGGTCTCGGGTGGGGGACCTGGGCATCTGTATTTCTAACAGGCTCCCAGAGTGCTTGAATACCTGCCTGACTTTCAGTTGCAGAAATTTAATGTAGACCATTGGTGACTCAGGTCTTCAGCTGCTCGTGTGTGTGTGTGTTTTAATTTAAAGCAGTGTCTGAGAGGGAGCTGAAATAATTCCTTCTGAGAACCTTGTCCTTTTTCCCTTGGCCGAATCATTTGTGTGAATTTAATGATTTGCCTGCCAGAATGCCCCACAGTTCGACTCCGTTAGTTCTATTTCTTTTTAGTGTTGTGAAAGCAATAATAGGAACACTGTGTTAATTTCAGAGAGAATTATTTACTATTATTTTGAATGTTGGAGAGGGGGAGTTTATTACAGTTTAGGAAAAAACAGCCAAAGAGTTTAATAAATGGTTATCTTAGTATGACCTTGGATACCTTTCCTGGTTCAAAGCAAAAATACAAGTTGAATCTCTAAAGCAAGTTTATCAGGGAGGAAAAATATTGGGATGTTGGCATTTAGGTTCTTGATGCTATGGATGCGTTTAAAGGCATATATGAGAGAGAACAGATGCATTTTAAAATTTTCTTTTTAGAGACAGGGTCTTGCTATGTTGCTCAGGCTGATCTTGAACTCCTGGACTCATGTAGCTGGGACTATAGGCACGTGCCACTGCGCCTGGCTAGACGTATTTTTAAAAATACTGTACCGTGGATTTTTTTGAAGTTTATGGATTTGTTTTTTGACAAAACATTCTTACTGCTGGTTCTGCTGCTGCATGGGTGCAATGCGGGATACAGCCAGATCAGGGTGGAAAGCCTGAAGCCATACGGGCATATTATGGTATGTCAGACAGCCTCGGTGACTGCCTCTGGCTTTATGGAATGCTGTGTCTCAGATATGGGTGCTCACCAAGTTTTGTGAACACACCTGCTATACAGGAGTCTCAGCTAAGAGAACTTGTGGTTTCCTTATTAGCAAAGCAGTATTAGCAAGAATTGGTTGTTTGCTGAGTCATAGAAATAGCCCCAGTTTCTAGGGAGAGGGTGGCTGAGAAAATTATGATAGTTAAAAGAGGAAAGCAACCAATTATAGTAAGTCAAAAAGGGATATTTTTAAGGACATTCTCTGATGTATTTCACCTTTCCTCTTAGGCAGTGGTCAGGGATTCGCACAATTCATAAGATGAAAGTCTTCAGGAGACCCTGGATCTATTGTCTTCAGACTTCTGCAGAGAAACACATCCCCTGGGCATTATGCAATTATCAGTAAGGGCTTTGGACTTCCATGATGTATGGCTTGGGAGCTCAGTGAAAATAACATTTTATCACCTTAAGTCTACTCAAGAGATGCGCTTCATCATTTGTGAGAATACTTAGGCGCATGTTATTTTAGGACTCAAGCAAGGATGAAGGGATTCCTTTTACTCTCCCTCTGTGGAAATTTCTAGTAAATTCAAAGGCCATACTTTGGCTGTGGATGGACCCTTTGGAAATGGCTGAATATTATTGATCTGCTTTGTCATCCTGTGTCTTTCAAAGGAGTTCAGTGAATAATTAAATATTTTTAAATGCTTTTTATCTTCTGCTGGAACCTCGGTATCTCAACTTGCAGAAGACGCTGTTTTCAGCTTTACACGATGAATGTGCTTCTGTGCTCTGTGGACCAGTTCTGCCAATAGGCATGGGATGTTTGTGTTGTAACTGCTATTTCATCAAAATGTGAGGTTGATCCTTTTTATTCTTAAGTTTTCAGAAACTAGTATAATACATAGATGAGGAGCGTTGCTGAGAACATGGTGGAGTCACCCAGACCACAGACAGCTGACCAGATTCTGTCTCCACTGTGCGGTTAGAAGGGGGGCATGGGCAAACCTAAAGTGCTTTTAAAAATTAATTCTACACATATTTTAAGTCTTTTATGAATGCCCAGTTCGGCTCTTGGTTTTGAAATACTCTTTTCGGTTGCATTAGCACAAGGGAAATTTATAATTCCAATCCCAAGACAATGTATTTTCTTCCAAGAAGGCTGACTTCAGAGAACTGAGTATAAAAGCTCCATGCTAAATATGCTTCCATTGTTGTCTGAGCTGTTCTCTTCTTGAGTTAACCTGAGATCTCACAAGACAACTAGTTTTGCTTCCTGACAGGTGAAATGGCAAATGGCCATCAAGGAGAAACTGATGAAACAAATTATCCTTGGTTATTAAAGCTTCCTGATGGTTCCCCACACCATT